>NW_003315943.1:0-296527 GCF_000001405.40 Homo sapiens
TTTTTTGGAAGGTAGACACTGGACTCCTGGAAGGACATGCACTGTGGAAGCCTCCTAGGAACTGATGACCCAAATAAATGGTAAGCACCATTCAAAAAACTATTTGGGCACCTTAAAGGTGGAACATTACTAAGGCAATAAAGCAAGCCTCACTGGAGGAGGTCTCCAGAGAGTTAGACTGTGAACAAGCAAAAGTGAAGCCCAGGAGAAGAGCTCTCCAGATCACAGACAGTACAGGATCCTGACTGAGGAAGCAGCAGCCTGGGAACAACTGGAAGACAGCCGTGGCACTGAGAAGAATGGAGACTACAGGCAGGGCGTGGTGGCCCACGCCGTAATCCCAGAGCTTTGGGAGGCCAAGACAGAAGAACTGCTTGAGGCCAAGAGTTCAAGATCAGCCTGGGCAACATGGTAAGACCGTGTCTCTACAGAAATGTAAAAATTACCCAAGTGCATGGCACGTGCCTGTAATCCCAGCTACTCAGGAGGCTACAGCAGGACGGTCACCTGCACCCAGGAGTTTGAGGTTACAGTAAGCTCTGATCACACCACAGCATTCCAACCTGGGTGACAGAGACCCTATTCATAAAAAAAATAAAATAAAATAAAGAAAAAGAAAAAAATGAATGGGACTTTCCATTTGTAAAGTGAGAGTATTTATTTCTACAACTGTCTCCAATTAGCTTTTTATTAGTAGCTGACTTACCTAAACGTGCCCAGTAGATTTTCAACTTTTGACTTTTTTGGTTCAGATCCCAGAAGCTTCTAATTAGGTTATTTGGGCTGAGAACTCTTTTCCAATCTTTTCCAATCTCACATTCCTATCTTACACCTCTGAAGTGACATGGCAAGTAAAGGCACTTTCATCGTCAAAAGACCCCAGCAAAAGAGGCAGTAACAGGCTCACTTTTTGTTAGTTACTAAACTGAAGCTCAGAAGGCCAATGACTTGACCAAAGGCCACACAACACTGAGGCTGTGAGAGGTGGGATTTGGGAAGAGGCCCAACTCCAAGGCTTATTCGCTTCCCACCAACACCATAACATGCACCCACACCTGCAGCACGGCAGCCAGGGCAAGCCTTCACGCTCCCATACATAGGCCACCAATATTTTAATACCAATCAGGACTAGGCAAGCAAACAGTTAAGGCATTTTTTTTTTTTTTTTTTTGAGACAGAGTCTTGCTCTGTCGCCCAGGCTGGAGTGCAGTGGCGCCATCTTGGCTCCCCGGGTTCATGCCATTCTCCTGCCTCAGCCTCCCGAGTAGCTGGGACTACAGGCGCACGCCACCACGCCCGGCTAATTTTTTGTGTATTTTTAGTAGAGACGGGGTTTCACCGTGTTAGCCTGGATGGTCTCGACCTCCTGACCTTGTGATCCACCCGCCTCGGCCTGGGATTACAGGCGGGAGCCACCGCACCCAGCCCGTTAAGGCATTTATTAAAGTGACTTCAGAACTATAGAGTCAGGCAATAAAATCCAAAACTGAATAATATAACAAATGAATATCTGATTAATGTATAGGTTAGAAAATGTTTCTTTTTCATGTCCTTACAATTTGACAGAAAAGTAATCTTCAAATATTTGCAGATGAGTAAAGGTATATGGCTTTTTTTCTTAAACCTACAGAAAAATACTAAACATCTATTGAACGTAGGACAACATATAAAAAATGTTAAGAACAGGTTCCTAGAACAATTAGAAAGGTCAGACAGGAACATTAAGTACGTCGATTTGAAGACATCCTAGAAGCAGTAAGATAGTGAGGTCTTCCTAAAGTCTGAGACCCACGAGAGGAAGAAAGAGGCCCAGAGAACCTAAGCAAGCAGGGATGAGACTGAGAAGCAAAACGGAGCTTCTGAGAGACTCCCAGGGCCCTCACACAGGAGAAAGAGGCCTGGCAGACCCCATGCTCTGAGCTGGAACCTCAAAGGGCCACACACCAGAAATACAGGTGAGTTAGAAGTAGACCAGCCTTTACGGAAAACCAGCCCAGTTTCGCATTCTCTCAATTTCCAAAGGGACTGCAGTGACCTGGGATTGCCTAGAACATCCTCTCTGGGGGAAGTTATTGTTACCCAGAGCCTCGACTTATTGCTACAATATTGCATATACAATATCTGAAAGTCAAGCAAATATAATAATGACAAAGATACAAGACCACATCATTGAAAAATGAAAAAAAAAATAGAAGTCAACAGAACAGACCAAGAGTAGATCCTGAAAACAGAAATATAAAGACTTCTATCATGAAAGAAGAGCCTGAGGAATGAACTAAAGTGTTAACACTCTGCTCAGCAGATGTCAGCTCGGAACAATGGGGTGAGGGAAGTGGGAAAGTGAGACAAGGAGATCAATGAAGCAACGGTATGCAGTATATGACTTCACAGTCAGCTAAGTGTGATTTTAGCCTACTCTGCCTATGTAGGAGCCATTCTTATTTCCTTTAATTTCCTAAAAAAAGAAAAACATATATTTAAAAAGTGATTTTATATTTTTCAATGGTTGCAACATAATCAAAAGAATCATATGTCAGCCAAGCACGGTGGCTCACACCTGTCATCTCAGACTTTGGGAGGCCAAGGCGGGCGGATCATGAGGTCAGGAGTTCAAGACCAGCCTGGCCAACATGATGAAACCCCGTCTCTACTAAAAATACAAAAAAAAAAATTAGCCAGGAATGATGGTACACGCCTGTAATCCCAGCTACTCCGGAGTCTGAGGCAGGAGAATTGCTTAAACCCAGGAGGTGGAGGTTGCAGTGAGCCAAGATCGCGCCACTGCACTCCAGCCTGGGCAACAGAGCAAGACTCCCTCTCAGGAAAAAAAAAAAAAAAATCATATGTCAACACATGAAAATTATCTGACATTCAAATTTTCCTGGAATATAGCCATACACATCTGGCAGCTTCTCGCAGGACAATAGCCAAGGTGAGTTGTTATAAAAGAGCACGTACGGCCCACATAAACATTTACTATCTGGTGCTTTATAGAAAAAATGTGCTGACTCCTATGTTACTGCCACCTCTTCTCAATGAGCTGCAAATACAACCAATTGTTCAGCCAGCACATTCACTAGGCACATGTGGCTTTTCCAGAAGGTCTGCAAGAAGAAACTACACCATAAAATAGTCCAAGGAGGAAAGAAAAAGGGGAGGAATAAAAACACTGAGTTCCCTCATCTCTCCTTGTAAAGTGGTGAACGTTCATACCACAGGGAATTCACACCCACACTCGCCACACCTTCCAGGCTGTGTCACTGGCTCCTTGGTAGGCAGTCAGGAAGCCATACTCCAACTCTCTTGCGTGACATCACAGCGGAGACTGGAGCCGAAGGGCGGCTCACAGGCATGAGTCAACCAAGAGGGACAGAGAGAGGCGGCTAAGGAATCTATGGGGTCGGACAAGGTTTATAAACACACTTTTAAAATAACTACCTTTAATAGGGTCAAGCAATTAAAAGATCCTATTAACAGCCGGGCACGGTTCATGCTTGTACTCCCAGCACTTTGGGAGGCCAAGGCAGGTGGATCACGAGCTCAGGAGTTCAAGACCAGCCTGGGCAACATGGTGAAACCCCATCTCTACTAAAAATATAAAAAATTATCTGGCTCTCGGCGTTAGCGCCATTTTCTTGGAAACCTCTGCGCCATGAGAGCCAAGTGGAGGAAGAAGCGAATGCGCAGGCTGAAGCGCAAAAGAAGAAAGATGAGGCAGAGGTCCAAGTAAACCGCTAGCTTGTTGCACTGTGGAGGCCACAGGAGCAGAAACATGGAATGCCAGACGCTGGGGATGCTGGTACAAGTTGTGGGACTGCATGCCACTGTCTAGAGCTTGTCTCAATGGATCTAGAACTTCATCGCCCTCTGATCGCCGATCACCTCTGAGACCCACCTTGCTCATAAACAAAATGCCCATGTTGGACCTCTGCCCTGGACCTGTGACATTCTGGACTATTTCTGTGTTTATTTGTGGCCGAGTGTAACAACCATATAATAAATCACCTCTTCCGCTGTTTAAAAAAAAAAAAAATTATCTGGGTGTGGTGGTGCACACTTGGAATTCCAGCCACTTAGGAGGCTGAGGCATGAGAATGGCTTGAACCTGGGAGGTGGAGGTTGCAGTGAGCTGAGATACTGCTACTGTACTCCAACCTGGGCAACAGAGTGAGACTCTGTCTCAAAAAAAAAAAAAAAAAAAAAAAAAGGAATTGTCATCAAAGTCCTACGGCTAAACCCTTTTCCTTTTTTTTTAATAACTAGTATTACTAGTCTTTTCCAAGAACCAAAGTTAAAAGTTAGTTCTTTAAAACACCAGGCCAGGCACAGTGGCTCATACATGTAATCACAGCACTTTGGGAGGCCAAGGCAGGAGGATCACTTGAATGCAGGTGTTCTAGACCAGCCCGGACAACAAAGAAAGACCCTGCCTCTACAAAAAAAAATTTTTTTGCTGCAAAATGCTCTCAATTAACCTGACAAAATGTCACATACAGGGTTACTACATCTTTTTTATCATGGAATTTTGAAAACAAAAATTGTTCTATTGAGGCACCAGTATTTGGATATTAGAGGTAAAAACCACCCTTAGAATCCAGTCCTAAAAACGTCAATGAAGACTCCCATGTTTACAAATTCTTTTATTTCTACATGTCATCTATCAACTGGATTATGAACCTGAAAGCCTGAGAACAGAATTTATCAAGATACTCATGTTTATACTTTTTTTATCTACTGATCGTTTTTATTTTTTTTGAGACGGATTCTCGCTCTCTCACCAGGCTGTAGTGCAGTGGCGCGATCTCGGCTCACTACAACCTCCGCCTCCTGGGTTCAAGCGATTCTCCTGCCTCAGCCTCCTGAGTAGCTGGGACTACAGGCACGTGCCACCACACCCAGCTAATTTTTGTATTTTTAGTAGAGATGGGGTTTCACCATGTTGGCCAGGATGACCTCGATCTCCTGACCTCAGCCTCCCAAACTGCTAGGATTACAGGCTGAGCCACCACACCCAGCCATGTAGCCATCTACTGATATTTCTAAGCATGAAGTGACAATTTTTTTTTTTGAGATGGAGTCTTGCTGTGTTGGCCAGGCTGGAGTGCAATGGCATGATCTCGGCTCACTGCAACCTCCACCTCCTGGGTTCAAGCACTTCTCCTGCCTCAACCTCCCAAGTAGCTGGGATTACAAGCGCACACTACCACGCCTGACTCTTTTGTATTTTTAGTAGAGACAGGGTTTCACCATGGGCGCCAGGCTGGTTTTGAACTCCTGACCTCAAGTGATCCGCCCTCCTCGGCCTCCCAAAGTGCTGTGATTACAGGCGTGAGCCACCGCGCCCAGCCGAAGTGACAATATTTATATACAATAAGCTTAACTCTAAGAGCTTACATTTATGCGTAGTCATTCTTAATTGATGATTAGAGGAAGAGACAAATAAATGGTCCCAGTTTAGCTACTGATATACTCAACAAACCTTGACGGACCTGAGGGCATTATGCTGAGTAAAGAAAATCATTTCCGAAGGTCACATATCACTTGGTAATCTCACAGTAACAAAATTATAGAGATGGAGAACAGATTAGTGGTTGTCAGGAGTTAGAGATGGTGGCAGAAGAGAGGCAGGAGAGACATCTTTGTAGTGATGAAACAGTTCTGCATAGGAAATTGTAGTAGTAGTTACATTTACAGACCCTTGATAGAATGGCACAGAACTACGCACACACATTGTACCAACTTCAATTTCTGGGTTTTTATACTCTATTATAATTACATAAAATGTAACCACTGGGGCAGTATGCGCAAATATACAGTGACCTCTCTAGTTTCTTTACAACTTCCTGAGAGTCTATTATTATTTCAAAATAAAAAGTTTTTTAAAAAATTGCTTCATGCCTATCTAATTTCATGTGCCACTTAAAAAAGAACACAAAAATAGAAACTGTAGGAAATTCATCTGAGTGCAGCTTATGCAAGAAGGGGCAGGATAACTCCATTCTGGACTTATGCTCAAAGACATGCGCCTTTACCTTACAACAAAACTGGCGAACAGGCATGTGTTTTAAGAATAAAAAGCTTTTAAGGTATCATATATTGTTTTTTATAGTTCCTTTGCTTAACTGACGTTTTGGTTTGCTAAAAAACTACCAATCACATCAGATTACAAGTACTTTCACTGTAAAAATAAAAAGTGATGTGACTGACACCTCTTAGCTCTGTAACGTATTACTCTTTACGAGAGCAGTGAAGGAAAACATGGTGATTCAATCACTCCACACACCAAGCAGAAAAGTGTTGAACAGGCCGGGCGCGGTGGCTCACGCCTATAATCCCAGCACTTCCGGAGGCCGAGACGGGTGGATCACTTGAGGTCAGGAGTTCAAAACCAACCTGGCCCACATGGTGGAGCCCTGTCTCTACTAAAAGTACACAAAATTAGCCAGGCGTGGTGGTGGACACCCGTAGTCCCAGCTACTCGGGAGGCTGAGGCAGGAGAATGGCATGAACCCAGGAGGCTTGCAGTGAGCCAAGATGGCACCACTGCACTCCAGCCTGGGAGACAGAGTCAGACTCCATCTCAAAAAAAAAAAAAGTATTGTACAATTAAACTGTTTATATGTAATAACCACATATATATGCCTGGCATAAAATGAGCCCTGCATTAGAGGTTGCTGGATGTAGGGCCCTAGGCCTGACGTATCCAAATAATGTCTATGATAAAGAAGTCAATAAGTGCTCTCTATAACACACAAGCATTATAAGTTTTCACACTCCAAAAACTCTTCCTTTCTAAAGTTACTAAAACTTTTAAGGGCATTTCAAACAAAAACAGCTGTGGAAAACAGATCGGTTAAATCCTATGGCTAAGAAACATCTTCCTATCCCATGTATTATTCATTACCCAGGTGTCAATTCTGTTTCCAATACAAAAGTCTCAAGCAGTGAAGCGCTTCCCACTCCAGCTGGGAGAGCCATCCTCAACAAGATAAGGGTAAAACCTGTGAGCACAAGGCTTCCATCTGCAATTCCTGTCTGCAGGGAAGCTCCCCAAAGAGGGAAACCATGTCTTATTCCTTACGGTAAAACACCACCATTCATTCCTTGTGTTTAACAACCAATGCTGGTGGAACATAAAACAAAGCTTAGCAATCACTTTTTTCATGCTACTTAGACCTGTAACACATTTTTCCTCTGGTGCACACTATCCAAAACCTAGTCATTTCCCTTACTCCTAGGAGGAATTTAGATGACTTTTTTTTTGGCCAGGTGCAGTGGCTCACGCCTGTAATCCCAGCAATTTGGGAGGCCGAGGCAGGCAGATCGCTTTGAGGTCAGGAGACCAGCCAGGCCAACACAGTGAAACCCCATCTCTACTAAAAATACAAAAATTAGTCGGGCATGCATGGTGGCACACACTTGTAATCCCAGCTACTCGGAAGGCTGAGGCGGGAGAATCACTTGCATTCGGGAGGCGGAAGTTGCAGTGAGCCAAGATTGCGCCACTGCACGCCAGCCTGGGCGACAGAGCAAGACTGCGTCTCAAAAAAAAAAAAAAAAAAAAAAAGACTTTCTAATCATATTGGAAATGTGTAACAAGGACCAAGTACTGTGTATTAAACTTAATAAATCAAAACAACAGGCCCTCTAAGATATAAATGGTGCTTCACTGTATGTTTATCTGCCCAACCCATCATAGGAACTCAATTCAGCATTAAACTGGTTTTAGATCAAGACACTAGAACTCATGTTTAGCAGTTATTAAATTACAATTATTAAGAAAAACACTTTATTACGTAAAGTCCTTTACTCCAAAAAGTTTCTCAAAATACATAAACACTAATATAAAACAATTATTAAAACTTTGCCTGAATCTCAGGATTTCAGAAATATGAAAGTACTCATCTCTCACCTCTCCCATCCACTTAAAATGACAAAACAGATCATTATAGCTAAATCAAAGGAAATGTTTAAAGAGAAACAAACCCAAAGAGTAACTACACCAATTCTTGACCCAATTCTCTGTACTCTGTCTTATGTAACATTACACTATGAATAACAATCCCATCATCCACAACAGCTTTTTTTTTTTTGAAACAGTTTTGCTCTCATTGTCCAGGCTGGAGTGCAATGGCATGATCTTGACCCATTGCAACCTCCACCTCCCGGGTTCAAGCGATTCTCCTGCCTCAGCCTCCCGAGTGGCTGGGATTACAGGCATACACCACCACGCCTGGCTAATTTTGTATTTTTAGTAGAGACGGGGTTTCACCATGTTGGTCAGGCTGGTCTCCAACTCCTGACCTCAGGGCATCCACCCGCCTCGGCCTCCCAAACTGCCGGGATTACAGGCGTGAGCCACTGCGCCCGGCCACGCAACACAGCTCTAAACACTGGACTCTCATATCTACCAACACTCAATACCTGTTTAAAAAGAAAAAAAAAATTAGGAAGGGGCAATAACACTTCAGTGTAAGTATCCATGATCAACTACTGCTTAACAGCCTACACGACTTTTGATGAACAGTCAAGGCACATTACTTAATACTTAAAATGGTTAACCTTAGGGAGTAGGAAAATACAGACACACACAAAATATTTCAAACACTTCTTTTTGCTGCTGATAAGGAGTTCCAAAAGTAGTTTTTCCAAGCCATTTCCAAATAAAAGTAGATTGGGTGTAAATAATTGTCTATCGAAATATTAGTTATTATTTATTTAATAATGTCCTGACAAGCTTGCAGTTATCTCATTAAATCAAAAAATTAGGATCTAAGGCCAACATTGTTTCCTCACATTCTTGATGTGAAAATCTGAGCACTCCTCTTAATAAGGAGTTACAAAGACAAAACAAACAGCTCAACTGAACTAACTCTTGTCTCTCCAGAAACACAAACACAAGACCTCATAAAATGAGTGAGTTTCTATAGGCCATAATTACTGCAACTTACTTCTCCAATTTTCCCCTCCACAGTTAACTCAACAGCTCAAAAACGATCAGTAACAAACAACAGTCACCATGATATGGTTAGGAGTGTGGCAGATTTCTTAACCAGTAATAATAAATAGGAAAAAAATTTTGCCTATTAATAGATCTCAAGTTTCGTGCACTTGCAAGAAACTAATTAAAAGGCAGCCGCGCACGATCTACAAAAACAGCCATAAAGACTGTTACATTTTAAGTTACAGGAAATAAACCTGCTCCTCTAATTCAGCAAGATACAACTGACTTCCCCTTACATACCCTAAAAAAAAGCCTTACACGAGAAATTTAAACATGGAAGCAGAAACACACCAAGAAAAAGACATGTCAAACCCCACCTGTATATCTGTTTTCAACCATTTGGAGTCGAGGCGAGCCTGGGCAGCCAAACAGAAAGATTCAGAGGGCATCTTTTCTCCAGCTTCCTCCCAGGTCTCAGGCCTGCAAGTAAACACATACGCTGAAGACCTAACGCTTTTTAATAGTTTACAAAGACACTCCCGAAAGCCAGAAAAGAAAAAAGAGAGAGAGAACAGAAAGGGGGGAGAGAAGAGCTGGTGGAGGGGAGAGAAGGGGAGAGAGGGAAAGAGGGAAGAGATGGAGGGAGAGGGAGGTGGGGAAGGGAAAGCCTCCTTCCAAGGTAAGCAGGGTGTGCCGAGTTTCTGCACCACGCTGACGAGACCTTGAGAATGGACGGTCACAGGAAGCCAAGTCACAATGTCATCCCCCTGCCCTCAAATCCAAGAAGTACACACACATAACAGGGAGCCCATCGTTTTAACGACAAATGACAGCAGCATGAATCTGCCGCTTTACCCCACAGCAGGGCGCGTGCGTGAAACAAAAAATTACTCAAAAGGATCGCCTGCAGAAAAACCCACAGCCACCACCACTTAAGAGATGGAGAGAGGCCCGAGGCTGCCCCGCGGGTGGTCCGCGCAGGCCCCGGTGCGGCCGCCGCGCCCACGCCCGCCTCCCGGGCTCGGCCGCCCGCCAGCCCCGCGCCCGTACCGCCCCCGCCACCGGCCGCCCAGGTGCCCCAGGCCAGGACCTGACGCGCAGGGCCCGGCCGCCTCGCCTCGCCGGCGCGCGGACGCAGCCTCCCAAGAGCCGCTGGCTCAGCCGGCGCCCGCGATCCCGGCGCCTCTCGCGGCCCGAGGGGCGGGCCGACGCGGGACTGCCGCCCCCCGCGTACGGCCAATCGCAACGAGGCTGCTCCGTGGGCGCAGCCAATGGGGAAGAGGAGCCCTTCGCCGCTCCTCCCGACTCTCCCGCTTCCAGCAATCCCGCTTATCTTCCTACTTGGAGCGCCCTGGCTGCGGCCAAGGCCAACAGCGGGCGCCGGAAGGCGGGATTTCCGCCACACGCACGCACTCCCGCACTCCCACGGGAGACTGCTTGGCTCGGAGCGCTCTTGATCACGCCGCGGCGGGTGGTGGCGCTCACACTAACTATAGCTATCCAGGGCGCGGGTCGAGTGGCGAGACCAGCTCCCCTGGGTATGAGAACGCATCTTTGTGCGGTCGGCTGGCTGGGGCCTGAAGAGCTTCCTCCTGTGTGTTCAACTGAACGCAGCAAAAGTCTTGGGCAGATTCCATGGAGCAGCTGTGGAAGCACTGTGCAGGGAATCGAAGAAGGAAACACCTCCAGCGACCACAAAACAAAATTGAAGAACTATAAAACAATATAGGCCGGGCGTGGTGGCTCACGTATGTAATTCTCAGCGCTTTGGGAGGCCGAAGCGGGAGGATCCCTCGAAGCCAGGAGTTGGAGGATCCCATGTTGCCAGACTGGGCAACATAGCAAGACCCCATCTCTAAAAAATAAAAATAAAAAAATTTAACAATTAGCCAGGTGTGGTGGCACACACCTGTGATCCCAGCTGCTCGGGAGGCTGAGACAGGAGAATCGCCTGAGCCTGGGAGATCAATGCTACAGTGAGCTTAGATCGTGCCACTGCACTCCAGCCTGGGCGACAGAGTGAGATCCTGCCTCTAAGAAAGAAAAATAACGGCCGGGCGTGGTGGCTCAGGCCTGTAATCCCAGCACTTTGGGAGGCCAGAGCAGGTGGATCATCTGAGGTCAGGAGTTCAAAACCAGCCTGGCCAACATGATGAGACCCCTTCTCTACTGAAAATACAAAGATTAGCCAGGTGTGGTGGCACGTGACTGTAATCCCAGCTACTCGGGAGGCCGAGGCAGGAGAATCGCTTGAACCCGGGAGGCGGAGGTTGCAGTGAGCCGACATTGCACCACTGCACTCCAGCCTGGGGGACAGAGGCTGCACCACTGCAGCCTTGACTTACCGGGTTCAGGTGGTTCTCCACCTCAGCCTTGCCACTAGCTGGGACTGCAGGCACATGGAACCACACCTGGCTAATTTTTGTAGTTTTTGTAGACGGGATTTTGCCATGTTGCCCAGGCTGGTCTCGAACTCCTGGGCTCAAGTGATCCGCCCGCCTCAGTCTCCCAAAGTGCTAGGATTACAGGTGTGAGTCACTGCACTCGGCTAATAGTAATGAACTTTGAACAGAAGGAAAGTTGTTATTATTTTCTTGGTTATGTTCTATCTATATTTTCTAATTTTTCTAAACATGTAAAGATAAAATTCTAAAAACTCAGACCTCAGAACAAAAAAATTAGAGTATAAATATTTATTTTAGTTAACTTGTACAAATTTGGTTTCTGGAAAAAGAATGGAATAGATTTTCTGAGAAAAAAAATCCACCACTTTGGCCGGGCGCAGTGGTTTACGCGTGTAATGCCTGCACTTTGGGAGGCTGAGGCGGTGGATCACCTGAGGTGAGGAGTTCAAGACCAGCCTGACCGACATGAAGAAACCCCTGTCTCTACTAAAAATACAAAAATTAGTCAGGCCTGGTGGCACGCACCTGTAATCCCAGCTACTCAGGAGGCTGAGGCTGGAGAATCGCTTGAACCCAGGAGGCAGAGGTTGCAGTGAGCTGAGATCGCACCATAGCGCTCCAGCCTGGGTGACAAAAGGAAAACTCTGTCTCAAAAAGAAAGAAAGAAAAGCAGACTGGCTGAAAGGATTGAAGAACAAAATATGATCCACCAATGTGCTATCTACAAGATAAACATTTTAAATACAGAAACAGATTGAAAGTAAAGGGATACAAAGATACAATTAAAATAGTAACCAAAAAAGAGCTGAAGGGGCTGTACTAATATCAAATGTAATACACTTTAAATTAAAGCAGGGCTGGGCATGGTAGCTCAGGCCTGCAATCCCAGCACTTTGGGAGGTGGAGGCAGAGAGACACTTGAGCCCAGAAGTTCGAGATCAGCCTGAGCAACATGGCATAATCCCATCTCTACAAAAAATACAAAAATTAGGCGGGCATGGTGGTACCCACCTGTGGTCCCAGCTATTTGGGAGGCTGAGGTGGGAGGATCATGTGAGCTGGGGAAGTTGAGGCCGCAGTGAGCTAAGATCGGGCCCCTGCACTCCACCCTGGGCAACAGAGCGAGACCCTGTCTGAAAATAAAAAAAAATAAAAAACGGGGTTGAGAGACAAAAAAGGACATCCTTTTTTTTATTATTGTATTTTGAGATGGAGTTTCGCTCGTTGCCCAGGCTGGAGTGCAATCGTGTGATCTTGGCTCACTGCAACCTCCGCCTCCCGGGTTCAAGTGATTGTCGTGCCTCAGGCTCCCGAGTAGCTGGCATTACATGTGCCTGCCATCACGCCCAGCTAATTTTTGTATTTTGGTACAGACGGGGTTTCACCATGTTGGCCAGGGTGGTCTCCAACTACTGACCTCAGGTGATCCACCTGCCTTGGCCTCCCAAAATGCTGGGACTACAGACATGAGCCACCGCGCCAGCCGAAACCTTCATTTTAAAAAAGGCTGGGTCAGGCATCATGCCTCATGCCTGTAATCCCAGCACTTTGAGAGGGCAAGGCAGGCGGATCACCTGACGTCAGGAGTTCGAGACCAGACTGACCAACATGGTGAAACCCCGTCTCTACCAAAAATATAAAAATTAGCCGGGTGTGGTGGCACACACCTGTAATCCCAGCTACTCAGGAGGCTGAGGCAGGAGAATTGCTTGAATCTGGGAGGTGGAGTTTGCAGTGAGCCGAGATTGTGCTACCACACTGCAGCCAGGGTGACAGAGTGAGACGCCATCTCAAAAAATAAATAAAGGCTGGGTGCCAGATGTGGTGCATAGGCCTAGTTTGTTGACTCCTGTACTTAACATATAAAACTCTAAAGAACAGTGGGAAGGAGCTTCCCTCTAGAGGCACAGGAGCGGCCAAGTTGGTCCCTGAGCAGTGACTTTATAATAACATGTTACACTGTGTTTTTTGTTTTTGTTTTGTTTTTTGTTTGTTTGAGACGGAGTTTCGCTCTTGTTGCCCAGGCTGGAGTACAATGGCGTGATCTCAGCTCAAAACAACCTCTACCTCCCAGATTCAAGCGATTCTCCTGCCTCAGCCTCCAAAGTAGCTGGGATTTCAGTCATGCAACACCATGCCCGGCTAATTTTGTACTTTTAGTAGGGATGGGGTTTCTCCATGTTGGTCAGGCTGGTCTCGAACTCCTGACCTCAAGGGATCTGCCCGCCTCGGCCTCCCAAAGTGCTGGGATTACAGGCGTGAGCCACCACACCCAGCCTATATTTTTTTTCTTTTTTTTTAGACACAGTCTGACTCCGTTGCCCAGGCTGGAGTGCAGTAGCGCGATCTTGGTTCACTGTAACTTCTGCCTCCCAGGTTCAAGCGATTCTCCTGCCTCAGCCTCCCAAGTAGCTGGGATTACAGGCATGCACCACCACATCCGACTAATTTTTGTATTTTTAGTAGAGATGGGGTTTCACCATGTTGGCCAGGCTGGTCTCAAACTCCTCACCTCAAGTAATCCGCCCGCCTCGGCCTCCCAAAGTGCTGGGATTACAAGGCGTGACCCACCGGGCCTGGCCCTGTGTGTTGTTTTATGTATGTTTCTATATGTGTTATATTTCACAATAAACTAAATATTAAAACAAAGAATAACTGATAGCTATGCACAAAGGTATTTAAATTTCACCCTCACAAATAATTTTTTTTTTTTGAGACAGGATCTCACTCTGTTACCCAGGCTGGAGTGCAGTGGCACCACCTTGGTTCACTGCAGCCTTGACCTCCCAGGCCCAAGCGATCCTTCTACCTCAGCCTCCTGAGTAGCTGGGACTACAGGCACACTCCACCACACCCACCTAATTTTTGTATTTTTGGTAAAGATGGGGTTTCACCATGTTGGCCAGGCTGGTCTCGAACTTCTGGGATCAAGGAATCCTCCAACCTTGGCTTTCCAAAGTGCTGGTATTACAGGCGTGAGCCACTGTACCCGGCCAAGAATAGTTTCTTCTCCTTACCTAGGTAGAGACCTCTGCAGAAATGCTGGGAGATCTTTGGAGAGGGGAGATTTTTTAAATAAAAAATTTAATACTTGGAGGGGCGTGGTGGCTTACCCCTGTAATCCCAGCACTTTGGGAGGCCAAGGCGGACAGATCAGGAAGTCAGGAGATTGAGACCACCCTGGCTAACACGGTGAAACCCCATCTCTACTAAAAAAAAATACAAAAAATTAGCTGGGCATCGTGGCGGGCGCCTGTAGTCCCAGCTACTCGGGAGGCTGAGTCAGGAGACTGGCGTGAACCTGGGAGGCGGAGCTTGCAGTGAGCCGACATCGGGCCACTGCACTCCAGCCTGGGCGACACAGCAAGACTTCGTCTCAAAAAAAAAAAAAAAAATTAATACTTTGGGATGCCAAGGCAGGTGGATCACGAGGTCAGGAGTTCAAGAACTGCCTGGCCAAGATGGTGAAACCCCGTCTCTACTAAAAATACAAAAATTTGCCGGGCTTGGTGGCAGGTGCCTGTAATCCCAGCTATTCAGGAGGCTGAGGCAGGAGAATTGCTTGAACCTGGGTGGCAGAGGTTGCAGTGAGCCAAGATAGCACCACTGCACTCCAGCCTGGGCAATAAGAGTCAGACTCTGTCTAAAAAAAAAAAAAAAAAAAACTGATCTAGTTCAAAACCTCACTTTGAATCCACCCACATTGCTCTAAAATACTTTCATCTTTCCTGTGGCTAAAACCTTAAAGCCTTGCCAGTAACTCCCATTGCACTTAAGGAAATCCAATCTCCCTTGTTGTGGCCCCTGAACAGGCTGCTGCTGGCCCACCACGGTGCCTCTAGTTTGTGTAAAATGCATATGTTAATTTATAATATATGAGGCTTTTTTAGCTCTAAAAGGCTATTATTCACTAGTTGCTGTGTGAATCAGTATTTCTGGGTGCAGTTAGAAATTATTAGAGTTGATGCCCAAGACTCATCTCCATCAGCACGGGGGAGGCATCTGCTCGTTTTATGGTCAGTGACTCTGGGCCTCCTGCTGGGCTAAGTCCTGAGGTGGGTCTGACTCAGGTCAGAGCTGTGCACCCCGGCCCTCCTCCTCAACGTGCATGAGTGCTCTTTAGGATGGAGCTGAACACTGGCTTCTCAAAACCACTTGGCCCCATCACAGGCCCTGAGAACTGATTGGGTCACTCTGGTGGGCTCCCCAGCCCTAGCCAAGAAGGGTTTCTCTAGGGAGCCTGGCCCCCCACTTATGAGACCTGGAGCCCCAAAGATCCTGACCAGGGGCCTGCCTCCTCCAGGGAGCGGCCACTCGCCCCCACCAAGCTCCCTTCACAGAGACCCATCCAACAGAGCTGAGGAAAACCATGCCTCATAAATGAATAAATACATAAATAAGAATGCCGGGGACCTGTGGATTTTGTAATTCCTGAAAGAAGGCAGAGTGGCTGGCTCACAGCAAGCGCAGTAGGAGATACTGCTCCCCGGCCAGGCTGTTCTCTGTCTCTTTGGAGGGAGCCCTAGGGTACAAGAAAAGCCAGAGGAGACCAGCTGGCCCAGAAGGTGCCTCTCCACCCCTTCCCCAGAGTTTCTGGGAAACAAAGCCCACCCGAGGGACACATGCCTTCTTGGGAGTTGTACCAGGCCTCCTTCCTCATCCAGCCATGCAGTGGTTTTCAGTGCCCGAAACAGATGAATAAAATAGGCCCTTTACGGGATGTTCTTCAGGAACATGCACACTTCTTTGGATCTTACCATCGTTTTATCTCTATTTAAAGTTAAATGCTGTGTTATACAGAGTATTGGTAAAGATGTAGAGCTACAAGAACTGTCAAGCTGGCAGTAGCATAAAATTGTATAAGCACATTGGAAACCTGTTTGGCAGCTTCTACTAAAGCTATATCTATGCCTACCTTCAGAAATTCCATCCTAAGCATGTACACAAGAGAAACGAGTGCATATGTCCACAAAAAGACTTATATAAGAATGTTCACTGCCATTTTTATTCATAAGAGCCCCAAATGAAAACAACCTAAATGTCCATCAACAGGAGAGTGAATAAATGGTGATACAGTCACATCATGGAATACTACACAGCCAAAAAAGAAAAATGAAGTGGTAGGAACACTCAACGACATGGGTGAATAGAGGGAGCCAGGTATGAGAGACAGTGCACAGTACCAGCCCACCTAGATGAAGCGCAGGAAGGCAGAACTGACGATGATTGAAGTCAGAAGGGTAGTTTCCTTTGTGGGAAAGTGTAGGTCAGGAAGGAGCCTTCTGGGGTACTACAAATCTGCCGTATTTTGGCTGGGTGCAACAGCTCACACCAGCACTTCGGGAGGCATAGGCGAGAGGGTCACTTGAGCCCAGGAGTTAGAGACCAGCTTGGGCAACACAGAGAGATCCCATCTCTACAAAAAAATTAAAAATTAGCGTGGCATGCTGGTGTGCACCTGTAGTCTCAGCTACTCAGGAGGCTGAGGCAGGAGGATTGCTTGAGCTTAAGAGTTTGAGGTTGCAGTGAGCTCCCAAAGTGCTGGGATTACAGGTGTGAGACACTATACCAGCCTGATTTTTAAATACTGACCAAGCCTTGTGTTACTGGGATAGGCATCACTTGGCCACGATTTACTACTCTCTTTCTTTTTTTTTTTTTTTTTTTTGAGACAGAATCTCACTCTGTCACCCAGGCTGGAGTGCATTGGTGCAATCTCAGCTCTCTGCAACCTCTGCCTCCTGGGTTCAAGCAATTCTCCTGCCTCAGCTTCCTGAGTAGCTGGGATTAGAGGTGTGCACCACCACACCTGGCTAATTTTGTTTGTTTGTTGTTTGTTTTTAGTAGAGATGGGGTTTCACCATGTTGGCCAGCCTGGTCTCCAACTCCTGACCTCAAGTGATCCACCCTCCTTGGCATCCCAATATTCCTATGATTACAGGCGTGAGCCACTGCGCCCGGCCCTATTCTGTTTCTATATTGCTAAATTTGACTTGCTAACACGTTTTTGAGGATTTTTCTGTTGATGCTCATCAGGGATGTTGGTTTGCAGTTTTCTTTCTTTGTATTATACTATCTCGTCTGGCTTTCTGTCAGGGGAAAGCTGACCTTATACAAAGTATTGGCATGTGTTCCCTCCTTTTCCATTTTCTCTAAGGGATTGTGTAGAATTAGTGTTATTTCTTCTTTAAATGTTTTTGAATCCATCTGAACCTGGAGATTTCTTTCTAAAAGATTTTACGCCGGGCACGGTGGCTCGTGCCTATAATCCCAGCACGTTGGGAGGCTGAGGCAGGTGGATCACCTGAGGTCAGGAGTTTGAGACCAGCCTGGCTAACATGGTGAAACCCCGTTTCTACTAAAAATACAAAAAATTAGTCGAGCTTGGTGGCGTGCGCCTGTAATCCCAGCTACTCAGGAGGCTAAGGCAGGAGAATCACTTGAATCTGGGAGGCAGAGATTGCAGAGAGCTGAGATTGCACCAATGCACTCCAGCCTGGGTGACAGAGTGAGACTCCGGCTCAAAAAAAAAAAAAAAATTTTTACAAATTCAATTTATTTAACAGATACAGAACTATTCAGGTAACCTGTTTGTTTCTAGGAGGATTTTCCTGGTTTGTGGCACTCGGACATTGCTTTATTTCATCTAAGTTGTCTGATTTTTAAGTGTCAAGTTTTCCTTAGTGTTCTCTTGCTAACCGTCTGAAGTCTGTGGGGCCTGCAGTGATGTCCCTTCATTCATTCCTGATACTGATAATTTGTATCTTTTCTGTTTTTTTCTTTGTCAGTTTTCCTAGAGTTTTTCAATTTTGTTGATCTTTTCAAAGAATGATCTTTAAGTTTCATTAATTTTTCCCTTCTTTTTTTGCTTTCAATCTCATTAGTTTCTGCTTTTATCTTGGCATTTGTTCCTTTGGCTTGTTTTGCGTTCACTTTGCTCTTTTTCTGGTTTCTTAAGGTGGAAACTTAGATTGCTGATTTAGACCTATCTTTTTTGTAATATATAATGATTTGATGCTATAAATTTTCCTCTAAGCAGTGCTTTAATTAAACCCACAAATTTTGGTGCATTTTCATTTATGTTCAAAATATTTTCTAATTTCTTTTGAGAATTGTTCTTTGACCCATGGATGATGATGATGATGATTATTATTATTATTTTTCTTCAATACGGAGTTTCACTGTTGTTGCCCAGGCTGGAGTGCAATGACATGATCTCGGCTCACTGCAACCTCTGTCTCCTGGGTTCAAGCGATTCTCCTGCCTCAGCCTCCTGATTAGCTGGGACTACGGGCACCCGCCACCATGCCCGGCTAATTGTTTTGTATTTTCAGTAGAGATGGGGTTTCTCCATGTTGGCCAGGCTGATCTTCAACTCCTGGCCTCAGGTGATCCCCCCAACTTGGCCTCCCACAGTGTTGGGATTACACGCGTGAGCCAGTGCGCCCGGCCTGACCCATGGATTATTAAGTATGTTGTTTTATTTTGAAGTGTTTGCAGATTGTTTTGTTAATGATTTCTAGTTTAATACCATTGTGATTGGAGAACAAACTGCATATGATTTCATTTCTTTTAAATTTGTTAAGATTTATGTGTCAGGTTATGTTCTCAGTGAACATTCTGTATGTGCTTAAAAAGTATATGTATGGTCTGTATATGTATGGTCTGTATATACATATATGTATACATATATGTGTAAAAAGTATATGTATGGTCTGTATGTGCTTAAAAAGTATATGTATGGTCCAGCACTTTGGGAGGCCAAGGCAGGCAGATCACAAGGTCAGGAGATCGAGACCATCCTGGCTAACAGGGTGAAACTCCGTCTCTACTAAAAATACAAAAAAAATTACCCGGGCATGATGGCGGGCGCCTGTAGTCCCAGCTACTTGGGAGGCTGAGGCAGGAGACTGGCTTGAGCCTGGGAAGCAGAGCTTGCAGTGAACTGAGATCGTGCGACTGCACTCCAGCCTGGGCGACAGAGCTAGACTCCATCTCAAAAAAAATAAAATTTAAAAAAAGTATATGTAAAGTGTATGTATGGCCGGGCACGGTGGCTCACGCCTGTAATCCCAGCACTTTGGGAGGCCAAGGCAGGTGGATCACGAGGTCAGGAGATCAAGACCATCCTGGCTGACATGGTGAAACCCCATCTCTACTAAAAATAAAAATTAAAAAAATAATAATAATTAGCCAGGCGTGGTGGTGAGCACCTGTAGTCCCAGCTACTCAGGAGGCTGAGGTAGGAGAATGGTGTGAACCCAGGAGGCAGAGCTTGCAGTGGGCTGAGATCCCGCCACTGCACTCTAGCCTGGGCGACAGAGCGAGACTCTGTCTCAAAAAAAAAAAAAAAAGTATATGTATTTTGCTGTTGTTGGGTGAAGTGTTCTATAAATTAGATCCAGTTTATTGAAGGTGTTCTACAGTTCTCCTAGATTTTTGCCGATTACTTGTTCTCTCACTATGAAAGGTATTGTGTGTGTTATATGTGTCTAACAATTCATTGTCTAGTTAGAGTTGCTATTATACCACTTCAAGTGGATGGAGAGCCTCACTGCCATCCATTAATGTGCATTAATCATTTTGAGAGTGAAAAGATTTTTTAAAATGTTTTTACTCTTTTAGGTATGGCCAAGTGAGATGGGGCTAGTGAAATGGGTGGGAGAATTGGAAGCTGATAGTGTGTGAGCTAGACACCCATGAATGCTTTTCCACTGGGCAGTTAGAGGGATGATAGGTAATAATATAAGGCAGCTCCATCACACAAGCTGGTGACTCCTGTGCGACAGACCAAGAGCTGCATTTGGAGATTCATTTCCGATTGTTGCGTTTCCTCTTAGAGCATTGCTTGGTCATCGTGTTCTGAGTGGTCCATTGGCCTCCATGTCCCTTTTGGGGTGGATATTTGCTCAGTGACTTTTGAGCAGCTGGATCTCCTGCTTCGGCAGGTGAGTGAGGGGATGGATGGCTCCGCGGACTGGCCCCCGCCCCAGGAGAAAGAGTGCGTGGCCGTGGCAACGCTGAATCTTCCCCGACTTCAGGTATTCGTGATTTCCCTTCCTCTTGCTCCTTTTATAAGTGTCTTAGCGATTTGTAAGAAGGTTTATGTATTCTGAAGGACATAGGTTTTAGCCTGTTGGGGGAAGTATTTTAAAGTAAGATTGTAATGCACTAATAATGGACGCAAGGCTTAAAAAACTTGATCTGTTTATTTTATGTTTGTCCTGGAAGTCAGCCTCGGCATGCAGGAAGAGTGTATATGGATTGTGTTATTTTTGCTATAATCATTAGTTTGTTGGTATTCTTACTGTTTTACTGTTGTTGCGTGTGGAGAAATGACTGGGTGAGATCACAGGTGATGGAGAGAGACAGAGCTCAGCTGAGAGACCAGTGCTGGCCTGTCTCTCCTCTGTCCTGTGAAAACCCTGCTCCAGGAGGGTCCAGTCTTTTGGTTTCCCTGGGCCACACTGGAAGAAGAATTGTCTTGGGCTACACATAAAATACACTTATGATAGCTGATGAGCTTAAAAAAAAAATCCCAAAAATATCTCATGATGTTTTAAGAAATTTTACTTTGGGCCACATTCAAAGCTGCCCTGGGCCACATGCTGCCCTCGGGCCGTGGGTTGAACAAGCTTGATCTACTCAGTAAGCTCGGCTCCCAAAGCAATACCTTCCTTTCCTCACCATGAAGGCTGTGGTTAGGGTCACAATAAAAGCTACAAAAGCCTTCCTCCCTAGCAAAACTAAAGCTGAAGTGTTTGATCATCATCTTTTGTCTTTGTAATAAAACCCTCTAACTTAATGACAAGAACCACGGTTTTCTCGACATAGTAATTTTTCCCTTTTATTACAGTGGTTTCTTGTAACAACCCGTCATGTCCCTCTTCCAGCCCCTCCCCTTTTTGCCCTGCTTCTAGAATGTACAGAACTGAGTGTAGTGTTTAGTTGCAGTAATGAACTGAGCAGAGGTCTGGAGCATGCTTCTCCTCTAGTCCTCTGTAGCACTCATTTATCACCATACCTGTGGCATCCTGGCGTTTGCGTGGTTGCGCCCCAGGTGTTTGCTGCCCCTCCTGGTTTGCGGTGATGTGTCTGTTCTGGTCAGTGCTGTGGGGCGTGGCCTTGCGTATGTCTTAGGCTGTCGAGGTGTCCCAGCGTATGGTTTTGCATTTGCCTCTCCGGGGTCCTGAGGGTTCTGTAGGTTTCACAGACTCCAGGTGAGTTTCGGTGGTCATTTCCTGACCTGTGATATCTATACCTAGATGAGTGGTGTGCTTTTGATTTCACTTCTACTCACAGGGCAAGGCCGGGTCTCTGATTTCTCATGGGGCCTCTTGCTACCCAGAGCCTGGGACGGGCAGTGTGTTGCCCCCTGGCTGCGGTTGGCTGGCAGGCAGGTGATCCTGAGTGGCTCCCAGCCTTCTGCAGGAAGCTCGGGTTCAGTGGGTCCTTGTGTGCATTCCCGTGTGGGAGGTTGTGCTGAAGCCTGGCGGCTTGGCTCTGCTTTCAGAGCCCGGAACCTCTTGACTCCTGCTGTGTGTGCCCATGTGAATTTTGGTTTTGCACTTGAGGAGTTTCCCTGTGTACTCTCAGCTCCGCAGTCTAATTTTTAGCAGCTCTTTTTTTTTTTTAGACAGGGTGTCACTTTGTCACCCAGGCTGGAATGCAGTGGTACAGTCTTGGCCTGCCAGGTTCCAGTGATTCTCCTGCCTCAGCCTCCCAAGTAGCTGGGACTACAGGTGTGTACCATCACACCCGGCTGATTTTTTTATAGAGATGGGGTTTCATCATGTTGGCCAGGCTGATCTTGAACTCCTGATCTCAAGTGAGCTTTCCACGTCGGCCTCCCAAAGTGCTGGGATGACAGGCATGAGCCACCGCCTGTGGCAGCTTTTGTGGTTACATTGTAGCCATTATTTCTGTGTTTGGTGCAGATTGTTGGGGCGGGGTGGAGGTTGCTGTTGCTAGTTGTTTAGCTCTTCTGCTCATCTTGAGCTTTTCCATATATGTGTTCATAGCGGGGTTAAAAAAAATTCCTCTAGAAAATATTTCAACTATTGTGGGTAAGAGTTTTTTTAGTCCAGTTTTTAAAAATACGTAAACTGAGAAGTTATTTTGTCTATTTAAATAATACTTCAAATTGACTTTTATTCAGTGTTTAATAAGACTTTGAAATTCACTCATTTTTAGGGGTTCTAAGTGAAAATTGTTTTTCTCCTTTCAGTTGCATGCTGCCATTAGTCACCAGGTTGACCTGGAATTCCTTGGTTTAGGTCTGGGCAGCGTCTTCCTGAACAGCCTGAAGCAGAAGGTGGTGACCCTGGCAAGCAGCGCAGACGTGCTGAGCACCGTGCAGTCGGCCTCCCAGGCCATGCTGCAGAGCGGCTGGTCCATGCTGTTGCCCACCGCTGAGAAGCAGGCCCGGGCACTCTGCTCTCCTGTCCTGTGGAGGTGGGCTCGGGGAAGGAACAGGAGAGGGCATGGGTCAGGGTGCTGGGAGGGGATGGCGTTTCACTCAAATTGGCACAGACTTTCTATTTCAGTTTCAGGCAATGAAGTGAACATAAGTCCAGGTCATCGATTGGTGATTGATCTTCTGGTGGGCAGCTTGATGGCTGATGGAGGGTTGGAGTCAGCCTTACACGCAGCCATTACTGCAGAGATCCAGGTATGGCCTTGGAGGCACACGTGACCTGGTGGTGGGCTGAGATCGGAAATACCACACTCACACATGTGAAGAATAACTGAAAACAGTAAAACACTAAACTTATATCCAAGTATTTTTTTAAATTAAAATTCTTTTATGTGCTAATTTTAAAAATTATTGAGATGATTTGTGATAAAATACTGCATGTTGTCTGTTTCAGTGAAGTTAACAGGTAACCTGTTCCTCATGTAGACCATTCCCGTCACCCGGAAAGATCCCTGTGCTCCTTGGCACTTGCAGCCAGGATACTCCCCTGCCCTGAGATTAGATTCATTTTTCCTGCTCTGAGTGTCGCAGCAATATAACTGTATAGTATGCACTCTTTCCTGCTTTGCCTTGGAGAATGATTTTCAGATTCACTCACTGTTGTGTGTATTGCGACTTCGTTTTTATTATTGGGAAGTTTTCCATTTTATAGGTGTAGTACTGTTTGTTAGTTCATTCTCCTATTGAAGGACATGTAATTGTTTTTGGTTTTTGTTTTCTTTTTTTTTTTTTTTTTTTGAGACAGGGTCTTGCTCTGTCACCCAGGCTGTATACAGTGACCTGAGGTTGGCTCACTGCAGCCTTGTCCTCCTAGGCTCAAATGATCCTCCCACCTCAGCCTCCTGTGTTGCAGGGACCACATACATGTCACCATGCCCGGCTAGTTTTTTGATTTTTTTGTAGAGACAAGGTTTCACTGTGTTGCAAGGCTGGTCTTCAACTCCTGGGCTCCAGTGATCCCCCCACCTTGGCCTCCCAAAGTGTTGGGATTACAAGCGTGAGCCACCGCGCCCAGGCTTTCTGGTTTTTGGCCGTGTAGAGCTGCCACAATTGTGCTGTGAACAAGTACTTTAGTGAACATATGTTCTCCCTTTGGATAAACACTTGGAGTGGAATTTGTTAGGTCCTGGGGTAAGTGTGTGTTCATAGTTTCCCAAAGTGGCTTTGCCATTTGCATTTGAACCAGGACTTTTGTGTGTGAGAATTCTAGCTCCTTCTTGTCCTTACAGAGCAGCTGGATGCTGCGTGTGTGGAGCCGATCACATTGGGTTTTGTGTGAGCCATTAGCAGGGTTAAGGATTTTAGGGACTTCACAGAAGGAGGCTGGAGAGCATCAGCAGAGGCAGCCTGGACCTTGGATCTGTAAAAAGAAGACACTGTTTGAAACTGCACAAATGAGTTGGGGTTTCCAACAGGGCAGGTGGGGGGCCTGTGGGTGGATGGGTGTGGCAGCCACAGAGGCTGGGATAGCTTGGCACTGGGGTCAGGGCTCAGCCAGCCTGTGTGCCTTCACACCTGGTAATGAGATCACTTGTAAACAATTTCTGTTTGTCAATTACAGGATACAAAAAAAGAAGCACGGAAGGAAAAAGAAATTTATGAACAGGAGGCAAATGCCTCAACATTTCATAGAAGGAGGACTCCATTGGATAAAGACCTTATTAATACGGGGATCTGTGAGTCTTCTGGCAAACAGTGTTTGCCTCTGGTTCAGCTCATACAACAGCTTCTTAGGTAAATCATATTAGCTGTATTGTATTGTGTTTTATTTATTTACTTTTTTTTTTTTGAGACAGAGTTTCGCTCTTGTTGCCCAGGCCGGAGTGCAGTGGTGCGATCTTGACTCACTGCAACCTCCGCCTCCCAGGTTCAAGTAATTCCTCTGCCTCAGCCTCTCGAGCAGCTGGGATTACAGGCATGCGCCACCATGCCCCACTAATTTTGTAGTTTTATTAGAGACAGGGTTTCTTCATGTTGGTCAGGCCGGTCTTGAACTCCCGACCTCAGGTGGTCCATCCACTTTGGCCTCCCAAAATGTTGGGATTACAGGCATTAGCCACCACGCCTGGCCTATTTATTTACTTATTAATGGTGTTTTTTGTTTTTTGTTTTTTTTTTGAGATGGAGTCTTGCTCTATCGTCCAGGCTGGAGTGCAGTGTCACGATCTTGGCTCACTGCAACCCCCGCCTCCTGGGTTCAAGCTATTCTCCTGCCTCAGCCTCCCGAGTAGCTGGGACTACAGGCGTCTGCAACCACACCTGGCTGATTTGTGTATTTTTAGTAGAGATGGGGTTTTACCATATTGGTCAGGCTGGTCTCAAATTCCTGACGTCAGGTGACCCACCTGCCTTGGCCTCTCAAAATGTTGGGATTACAGGTGTTAGCCACTGTTCCCGGCCTGTATTGTATTTTAATAGGTGATTATTGGTTTTCATATTAAGATAGTGAAATCTAGCGCAAGGGTCTCAAAAATTTGTTTGATGATTGAAGGAATATTCTGAAAATTACCTAGTATAGATGTTAGGATAAAGAGCAGACCCTTCTCAATATAGGTGAGAGGAGAAGTTGGAGGGTGTGATGATACTCAGAAGTTTTTCACAGAAGAGAAATTGGGGCGTGCAGTAAACATGTAAAAAGATTCTTACTAATAAGCAGGTAGGTGCGAATGAAAATCATCATGGAAGGTTATTTTTAAAACTGGTTCTATCATTGCCTCACTTTACATATTACAGAGTTGTACCTACTACTTTGTAAGATAACTTTTCTTTTCAAAACTGAAGTCAATGTGATAGAATGGTGAGCATTATTTTGGAAGGCCAGACTAGGAGGAGGTGGGAGGAGGAAGTCAGACTCAGCCTGTGAACAGACGCTAACCTTGGCAGAAGCCAAAACAGTCAGACAGTGTTGTGTAAAAATGATCATTCAAGAAGAGCGAAACAGCAAGGTGATTTGTGAAAGAGATTTATTAGAAAATGAAACACATTTATACCTCTGTTCAATAAAAATCTGCTTTTCGTCAACTGATGCTCCTGGTTTTTGTTTCTACACATAGAGAAAGCAGAGCCCTGGCAGCTTGGGTCAGGCAGCCGAGTACAGACCAGGGAGCCCTGGGCAGTGGCTGCAGCTCTCAGCTGGCCTGTTCATGGGGCCATGGTGGGTCTGTGGCGTGGGGTGGGCCCGTGGCGTGGGGTGGGC
The DNA here is from genome assembly GCF_000001405.40 of Homo sapiens. NCBI lineage: Eukaryota > Metazoa > Chordata > Mammalia > Primates > Hominidae > Homo > Homo sapiens. The sequence goes on from NW_003315943.1 coordinate 26,022, forward strand.
CCGCGGCGTGGGGTGGGCCCGCGGCGTGGGGTGGGCCCGCGGCATGGGGTGGGCCTGCTGTCCACAGCCAGCAAAACTAACTTAGTGCACACACAGTGAAATTTTGAAACAGGAAGTTTTAGAGCTAGTTTCTGTCATAGATTTTAGTAAATGCTATTTTGCAAAACCTTTTTCTGATGTTTGTTTTGTTTTTCTAATCTGATAATGCATATTTCACACATTCTGGTCTTTAACAAATGGAAATAAAGAGAACTAAACAATATAGTTTGTGTCGATGGAAAGAGCTTGGGATTTGTTCTCAGAAAATTTCAGTTACAACAGTTTGTTCATATAGGTGGACTTCCAACACAGTAACTATAGGAGTAAGAATAAAAGCTGTGTTTACTTTCACAGAGTTAATTAAGAATACATGAGAAAATGGATGTTAAAAACCTTGTAATTAAAATGTACAGTTACATGCAAAGTTTTAAAGTGAGCATTTTCCAGAGGTGCTTTTCTAAGTTCTTGAATGCCTCTCCCTTTTCTGAAGTGGCTGCTTCGTGGGGCTGTTGGTCTTTGGCAGGGGGTGAGTGCAGGGTTCCTGTTGTGGGTCCTTTGTTCTCACGAGGGCAGTGCCCGTTTTCCCCGTCTCCTGCTTGCCCAGACTGTTCCCGTGCGCAGAGAGACTGGCCTGTTTGACCTGCAGCTGTGCTGTTTGAGCTGCAGCTGTGTAGCCTGCGCTGGCCCATCTGGCTACACTCAACACCGTTTGCTGATCAGCACTTGAAGTCTGTCCGTCATAGCTGAGACACTGAATATTTTATCTGTTTAATTTTTATTCATTAAAATGCAGGTTTGAAAATTTGATTCTGTTATTAGAAAGCACTTAAGTATGTTTAGAATCACTTGGCCTTGGGAGTCTACTTTGTCAACTGTGTATTTTATGAGTCTAAATGGAGATCAGATGTTTTCAATGCAAATTTCACGGTCCAAATTGAAATGTGTTACATATGTAAGCTACTCAGATGGTTTTTGAGGACTTAATATGAAATAACCTATGTAAAATATCTCAATAATTTTTCTTAGATTGATTTCATGTTGAAATGGTCATATTTTTGATCTGTTGGAATAACTATGATACATTATTAAAATTATTTTTATTTTTTAAGATGGAATCTTACTCTGTTGACCAGACCGGAGTGCAGTGGTGCAATCTTGGCTCACTGCAACCTCCGCCTCTTGGGTTCAAGTGATTCTCCTGCCTCAGCCTCCTGAGCAGCTGGGACTACAGGACTACAGACTCCCGAGCAGCTGGGACTACCACCACGCCTGGCTGATTTTTGTATTTTTGTAGAGACAGAGTTTCACCATGTTGGCCAGGCTGGTCTCGAACTCCTGACCTCAAGTAATCTGCCCGCTTTGGCTTCCCAGAGTGCTGGGATTACAGGCATGAGCCACTGCAACCAGCCATTAGTACAATTAATTTTATGTGTTGTTGTTTTTCTTGTTGGTGTGTTTTTTTTTTTTTTTTACTTTTGTTAATGTGACTAAGAACAATTTTTTTTCCCCACCCGGAGATGGATCCTCACTCTGTTGCCTGGACTGGAGTGCAGTAGCACGATCTCAGCTCACTGCAGCCTCTGCCTCCTGGGTTCAAATGATTCTCCTGCCTCAACCTCCTGAGTGGCTGGGACTAACAGAAGCATGCCACCATACCTGGCTGATTTTTGTATTTTTAGTAGAGATGGGGTTTCACCATGTTGGCCAGGACGGTCTTGAACTCCCAAACTCAGGTAATCTGCCCACCTCAGCCTCCCAAAGTGTTGGGATTACCGGCGTGAGCCACCGCACCTGGCCATGTTTATTAATACGACTAAGAACATTCTGAATTGCACCTGTGGCTCCATTGGTGTCCTGGGCAGGTGGCTCTGTGCTGTCCACACAGGTTGTCTCCTGTGTCTTCGTCTTCGCTGCGTGTGACTTTTTGGTTCCTGTGGCACGTGGGGTCCTGTATGGGACATTGGTTCTACAGCAGATTTATAGTAAGGATGTACCTACTAAAAAATACAAAATAGAAAGAATAGACACAAACATAGAAATAAGTATCACCTCACAAAAATTTTGGAAAGTAGAAAAAGAAAAATGCATTCGCAGCTTTCCAGTAGCCGATATCCAGGCTGTCTTCATAAGCATGGATCATGTGTCCCTCTCCCGCATGGGTAGACACTGTTTTCTCACCTTAAGTGTTTGTGAGTGAAGGATTCTTGATGTGTTGACTTGGCAGATGCAGTTGTTGAACAGTAGTTTATCTAAAGATCGTAAGAGACTTTTGGAGACATTTCATGTCCTTTTTTCCCTTGGAAAACGTGAGTTGGAGAAATCGCTGCTTGCCAAAAATAAGCCGTGAAACGTATTTCAGAGTAGATCGTTATTTACTTGCTGGCGAGGAGCCACAGAATACCATTTACATTTGAAAATAGAGCGCTGCAAAGTTTTTATAAGTAGTGAATCCCATCAGAATTACACATTTTGATTATGGCTCTAAATTTTATATTAAATAAACTAAAAATTTCATTGTATTGTATTACCGTCTCTTGCTCCTTCAGGTGTAGCATACATGCTAGATTCTAGACCTGTTTCTTGTGTTACAGTGGTGTTATCCAGGCAGGGTATCATGTAGTGAAGGTGATGTCGAGTGGTGGTGGTGAGCCCAGTGAAGGCGCATCCTTGCCGTGTGTGATGAGGGCCTGTGGGTTGCTATGGGATTCCCCAACCCTGGCTCCTCTGTCTCCTGCTTCTGTCCTTACTCACACTGCTGGTAGTTTTCTGGTGTGAGACACGGGGGCAAGTGGGATTGACAAGCCTGCTGTCACATTAGGAACCTGAGTTAAAGTGGAGCTGAAAGCATGTCCTCGCTCTTGATGTTGTGCAGAGAGCCACCTGTGCTCCTGGCTCAACGGGGCGGGTGTGGTGGGTCTGGAACCAGGCCCTGGTTTGGCTCTCCTCCCCTCCATGTTCCCCTGTCCTGTCTGATTTGCTTCACACTGACATAAGAGTTACTTTCCCTCGGCCTCCCAAAGTGCTGGTATTACAGGCATTAGCCACCGCGCCCAGCTAGCATCCTTTCAAGTACTGGGGTACACCCAAGCTCCCAGCTTCTAGCTAGGAGTCATTTTGTCCCTCTTTATCCCAAAGGACTTGCCACCATCTTTGGTTCCCAAAGCCCAGGAGGGTCCAGGCTCTTCAGCCTCCAACCACTTTGCATTTCTTGTCTGCTTTTCGTTCATGGAGATAATTAACTTATTTTTCAGCCTGGGCATGTCTTTTTTATTTACTTTATTTTTTATTTTTATTTTTTGAGATGGAGTCTCACTCTGTCGCCCAGGCTGGAATGCAGTGGCGGGATCTCATTTCACTGCAGCCTCTGCCTCCCGGGTTCAAGTGATTCTCCTGCCTCAGCCTCCTGAGTAGCTGGGACTACAGGTGTGCACCACTATGCCCAGCTAATTTTTACATTTTTAGTAGAGACAGGGTGTCGCCATATTGGCCAGGCTGGTCTCGAACTCCTGGCTTCAAGTGATCCTCCTGCCTCAGCCTCCCAGAGTGCTGGGATTACAGGCACGACCACCGCACCCAGCCTTTATTTACTTTGTATATCTCATCTATTACTGCTGCAGTTTGCAGAAGAGAGGATGCCCTCAAACCTAACTTCTCCAAACCATCCCAAATGGGAAGTCTGCTCCACGTCAACAGCATTGTTGCTTTTAAAGACTATACGTCAACATGGCAGATTATAGCAAAAGGATGTCGAGGGAGCAATAGGAAAGCAAGCCTGAGAGTCCTGGAGAGAAGGTGGCAGAGCTGCCTTTTGAAGGTGGTTCCTTCCTCAGACCCTGCCCTTCCTGCCTTGTTCCTCCAGTTGCCAGATTTGCTGTTGGAGCTCCTCCACGGGCGAAGAGGTGAGGCTGGACTGAGAGGGAGATGGAGAAGCTGCCAGAGATTCTTTTGGATCTAGAATTGAGACAGCAGTTCCAGCCAGGTCCAGAGGTGGGGGCTGTCACCCAGCCCCCAGGGGAATGGTACTGATTGCAGAATGTGGCGAGAACTCCCTGGCTGGGAGAGGGAGGTGCTTGCTCCCTTGAATCACCTGAGCCCAGGCTGGAAGGCCCAAGGGGGAGGACGAGGCCAGCTCACTCCAGCTCCATCCCCTCCCTTTAACCCTAAGCTAGTTAACCCTCCCAGACTCCAGTCCTTTTTCCTAAGTGCCCTCCCTGCAAAGTCTGCACCGAGCAGCGCTCCCTCGCACCAGCTCACCCTGCACTGTCTTGTCTTTCAGCAACCCCATGGGTTTGAACTTGAGACGATTCATTTTCCTAAAAGCCTCTTTGGGCTGAGGGAAGGCATGGGTGGCTCTGCCAGTTTTGGAGTGGGGGCCGACTCTTCTCAGAGCCGCTGCAAGGGCCAGGGCCACCCTCCCAGGCGGGTGTCTCTGGGCTGGGCAGCAGCTTTGTAGGCAGCCTGGGTCATCCCCACTGGCCTGGGAAGCTGGGGGTGCACCGGCTCCTGCTCCTGATAGGGCCAAGGCACCTTCCTTACCTAAGAGCTGACTTTCTTGAAGAGTGGGCACAGAGGAGCCGGCAACCTGGGCTGTGTAGGCACCCAGGAGAAAATCTGCAGCTCAGTATCAGAAGTCTCCACCAGCACGGCTGTTGCAGAGATGGGGAAACTGGGCTGAGAGGGAAGGGGGCTTGCCCAAATCACCAGCCCTGGAATGTTTTGAGCTTTGGGGGTGGATCTCCCAGGAAACGTGTTTTATGGCACCACCGCCTCTGGTCACCCACCCCGAGGTGTGGCGGGCCTGGACAGCCAGCTTGACTGAGGGCCAGGCTGGTGAAGTCAAAACTACCACTCAGGAAGAAGACCTAGCCCTTCTCCAGACAGAGTTCAAATGTGAGGACTGCCTTCTTTGGGCCTCAAATTCCCCACGTGAATTCCAAGGACCCCTCTAGCTCCTACACTCTGGGCCAAGGTTTCCTCTGAGCCGCAGTCAGCCTAGAGGACCTAGGATACATCTTCCTTGGACAGAGACCCACCATAGGGGCAGCAGGAGGTAGGGGTGGGGGTAGGCAAGATTCCTGTGGGGAGGTGGAGCTGTCATCAGAGATGGTGTCTGCAGGCAGTGGGTGTATCGTGGCTCTGCTACTACTTGCTGGGTGGCCCCATGACGTTTCTTTCCCCACTCTGACCTCAGTTTCCCTATCTGTTCTGTGGAGATAAGATGCCTGCCTACATATTTGTGGACTGGGATGTGTGTGGGCCAGTTGCAGTGTTTCTTGGTGTGGTCCTGGGGCAGGCTGCACCACCCCATAGAGATTTCTGGGCCCCACCCTAGGCTCACAGGACCAGAATCTCTGGGAATGAAGCCTGGGAATTTGCATTTCCACAGGCATCTGGCTGATTCTGACATGACTGAAAAGCACTAATAGTATATAGCAAGCTCTTTATAAAAGGTAAATTCATAGCTGCCTTTTACTAAACATAAATCTTACCTTCCCTTCCTCAGTTAAGGACACACACCGCAGTTGAAAATCACTGTGCCTTTCCAGATGCAGAGTCTGACCTTTCCGATAAGATTCTGTTAACTGCTGCTTTCTGCAGTTTGTATTCCAAAACAAGGGGAATATGTTTCCATTTTTTCAATACAAATGTTTAAGTCGGATATGCTTTCTCAAACTGGACACACACTCACACAGCTTAGGGTTTCAGCTATGGCTTCCTCTCAAATTATTAGCCTCTTTCTGCCAGGGAGCAGTTTTTCCCAGACAAGACCCTGGACAGAGGTTGGTGGGGCCCTCCTCATCAGAATCACTAGATTATGACTGACCCCTAGAGGTGGCTTTTCTGCTTAAGTGTCAGCCCATGGGCTGGGTTGTGACCCCCAAAGCTGCGGCAGAAGCTTCCACCCATCCTGGGTCCCCCCTGCCATCTATGGGGAAAGGCCTGTCCCTTGTCTTCTGGGCCCAGCCGGCCTCACAGGCATTCAGCAGATTGGAAAGTCGAAGCATGTGCTGTGCTTGGCTGGGCTCTCCTGCGCCCCTTTTTGGGGTGAGGTGGAGTGCATCCAGCCCCCGGCATCCCTGCCGTTTATTCCCACCCCTCATCCCCACCCCCATACACACTCACAAGTACAAACACAAGCACAGTCACTGGCACACACCACTCTGGACAGCACCATTTCCAGCCTCAGCGGGGCAGTTTCCTTACAGGGAAGTTAATGAGGCACTAACGAAGGCTCAGGGGACAGGGGGAACCTCTATCGAGAAGAGGCTCCTAGACCTGGTTCTGCCTCTGAATTGCTGGGGGTCCTTGAGAAAGTTGCTATCCCTCTCTGGTCTCAGTTTCCTCAGGTGAGAAATGGGGGGCCGGCCAAATGGTCTAAGGTTCTGGGAACCTCTAAATCAGAGCCCGTAGCTGGTGGTCAAGATGAGGGAGAGGCCCTCAGGGTCAGCCGAATGCCTGAGAGGCAGGACAGGCCCAAAGGTGAGCAACGTGAGCACATCAGGTGGGCTCAGAGCTGGCGCATGAGCCCCACAGCCTGCAGAGCAGCCCTGTACTCGGGAGCCCGCTCACACCCACCCAGTGGGACTTCAGAGATGTGGGGTCCAGCCTTTCCTACTATTGCTGGGCTGAGGGCTGGGAGCTGCAGATTCTGACCCCACAGCTGCCTTAGACATGCCAGATGGTCTGGGGCAAGACACACCCCTCTCTATGAAATGAGCAGCCAGTCCAAATAGGTACATTAGAGAAGGGCTGTGGGATGGACCCAGCTGTAGCCTGGGGCTACAGACTGGCTTCCGGGGTACTCAAGCAGCTGGCCTCTGGGGTAGCAGCCCCAGGTATGAGAGGCAGGACTCAGAATCTAGGCCAAGCCTCCATAGGAATCCCCTCTGGAGAGCCCGGGCACTCTGCAGGAGGGGCAGCAGGCAGCAGGTGCACCAGGAGCATGTTTCACAAGGTGCCCAATATCGCATCTGCTCAGATAGGCAGCGAGTTGGAAAGTGGATGCAATAGGCAGGGTGGCGGCTGCTCCCCACAGCCAGGAGTCCGGCCCAGCACCCACCTGAGTCCGCCTCAGTCCTGCTCAATTGGGTTATCCGTGCTCTTGGCCCTCTGGTCCCACCCACAGAGGGAGGTCTTTGGGGCGACCAGGTGAGCTGGCCCTTGTGGGAGGATGTAACTGACTCCTGAGCCTGGCGAGCCAGGCAGCCCCTCGCCAACATCCCCACCCCTACCTCTCCAGCCCCCCCGCATTCCCTGATCCTCCCATCCGCTCCCCTGACCCAGCAGTTGCCTCTGCTCACTCTCTTTTCCTGCTCCCAGGCTCGCCTGGTCATGTGTCCTTCACTCTCCTCTGAGTCTCCCTCTTTCCAAGCCGCCTCCACTCTACTTGACACACTCTCCCTTAAGACACCAGAGTACACAAGCGCAAGTCCCTGCACCTCACCTTTACTCCCAGACATGGGAGGGAGATGACATGAAGACCCAAACGCCACTTAGCAGGAGATCTGGGGTATGCAGAGGGGCAGAACGGAGGCTGTGGAAGCTCCAGGGGCTCCCTGCAGGAGGCCACATGTAAGCTGGCTATTGAATGTGGCTCTGAGCTGAGACCTCTCCTTGAAGCTCCAGACCAGGAGCCAGCTGCTAGCTGGACCCCTCCATTTGGTGCCTCAGAGAAACTTTGCACTCTGTAGGTCTAACTTTGAACCCAGAAAATTCCCCCATGTCGGCCCTGTCTCTTCACAGGGAAAGCACCACCTCAGACCCAGTTCTGCACCAAACCCACATTTGAGTCACGAGGCTCCTGCCCTGCACTGTGAGCACTCTGGATAAGCCAGTGCTGAGGGGGAAAGAGCTCTGAATGCCAAGCCAAAACATGAGCTTCAACTCCACCTCCAGCTCTGAGAGCTGTGGGTAGGGAAGGGCCCTCGTCCAGTTTGCTGTAGAAAGATCAGTCTGCCACTGTATGGCACATGGATGGCAGGGGCAGAGTGCAGGTGGAGAGAATAGAAGGTGGGCAGGGCGGGGGAGGCAGGGACATGGCTGTAGCCGTGGAGATGGGAGGACAGACAGGACTTGGTGGCCACTTGGGTGAACCAAGGGAGGAGTCAGGAAGAGACACCCAGTTTTGTATCAGATGTGTAGAGCGTGGGATGCTGTTCATTGACGGAGGGAGGAGGAGGAGGAAGAGATATGGCATGGGGAGGAGGTAGCTGAGCTCTGTCGTGAATGTCATTTGAAGTCCCCAGGGAAAGCCAGGCCGGCCAGCACCTTCACTGCTTCAGCCAGCTCTCAGGGTGTCTGTGCTCCCTGGCCCTCTCAGCTCCTGCTTCATAGCTGTCAGCTGCAGTGGGAGACAGCTGCACAAGGGCCCAGCATGTCTGTGTGTTTACCCAGGGGACTGCCGCATGGCCCATGCCGAGCAGAAACTGATGGACGACCTTCTGAACAAAACCTGTTACAACAACCTGATCCGCCCAGCCACCAGCTCCTCACAGCTCATCTCCATCCAGACGGCGCTCTCCCTGGCCCAGTGCATCAGCGTGGTAGGTGCAGAGGGTACCTGTGGCTCAGGCTCAGGTGAAGAGGAAGCTCATGCCCAAGCCCTAAGCAGTCAATGTCCAGAGGAATGAAATGACTAGAGTTGACTTAGACTCACCGGTACACGGTGGGGAGGCTGGAGGAGGGTCCATGAGGTTTATAGGTGTCCAGTATTTAATGAGGTCATGGTTTTGTTAACAAAGAAGAAATGAGGGTGGGAGCGAGATCACCACTGGCTAGGCAGCCAATGGGCCTGCATAGACTCTGCTCAGCTGAGTCTCCAGCACGACCATGAGCTTCTCCTCCTCATCCTCCCAGCCCCACCCTACTCTCTCCCCCAGCTTGCTCAACAGGTGACCTTATAGGCTCCCTACTCTTTGCAGGGAATAAGAACCAGACTGGGGGAACTGACGGGTACAGAGGCCCAGGTGTAGGCGCAGGACCACAGGCAGTGAAGCGTCTACTGACCCAGGCGGGTGAGGGTCTGGAGAGTGGGCATGGCTGCTGCAGGCATGGAAAGCAGGCACAGATGGCGGCACTCCCAGGGCCCATTGTCAGGGTCTCCACATGTGGACATGTGCAGAGGTGGGGGTGCTGAGGGAGGAGGGGCAGGGAATTTCTCATCTTCTCTCTACTGCCTCTGAGTTGGAGATGTCAGAGGGAGCCATGGCCCACTGTAAAGTAACACAATGTCCCCACCCACAGGATTAGAACCCCTCCCCTGGAAGCAGCTCTGAGGGGAACAGTCACATGTAGAGAGTGCAGGGCACTGTGTCCAGCCGGGGGAAGGAGGTCACCAAGGGGGTTGACCCCCCTCTGGCCAGGTGGCTACCTTCTGACACACCAGCCTCTGTCTCTAGCACGGTGGCCCCCACACACCCAGCCTGTGAAACCTACAGCCCTCAAGAAGGCTTTGGCCAAATTAATGAGCGGCTCCCTCTCCCAGGAGGAAGCACGGGTGAAGGATGTGGAGGGCAGTAGAGTTGTGTGTGCTCCGCCCCCTTTCTCCACAGTCGGATGGAAAGAAGGGGGCTTTCAGCCAGGCTCGCCCAGCCTGGGGTCTGAGTGTCACTGTCCAGCTATTGGCTTCTTGCTTAATGGGTGAGCCCAGCTGCTCCCGTGCAGCTGCCGCCCTAGTGAGGGTGAACCGGCAGGCGAGTTACATTTCTGAAAGCCTGGGAATACAGTAAATATTAGGCTGTGGGCTGCTGGGCCAGGAAGAGTTGTTTATTTTTCAGGGTTTGTTTATCTATTGACTTGATGAGGGAGGGTTATAGGTACAACCAGTTTAAAGATGGAAATTTTGAGAGAGCAGGCAGGGATTTAGTGCTGGGTAAGCCTGGTCAAAGCGGCTCTTTTGGGGCGGCCAGAATCCAGTACCAATGTCCTCAGCATGTTCATCAGCTGCTGGGGGAGTGCGGGACAGCATGAAAGCACAGGAGAACTTTCTGGATGATAGAAATACTCTGTATCTTCAAAGGAGGTGGGTTCCATAGTAATGTTAAATGAGTTAAAACTCATCAAAATGTAAACCAGACCTGTGCATTTCACTAATAGAAATTATACCTCCAATTAAAAACATGTTTTAAAAGACAGATGGGCCGGATGCAGTGGCTCATACTTGTAATCCCAGCACTTTGGGAGGCTGAGGCAGGTAGATCACCTGAGTCAGGAGCTCGAGACCAGCCTGGAAAACATGGTGAAATCCTGCCTCTATTAAAGGTATAAAAAAAAATTAGCCAGGCATGGTGGCACACGCTACTCGGGAAGCTGAGGCAGGAGAATTGCTTGAACCCAGGAGGCAGAGGTTACAGTGAGCAGAGATCGTGCCATTGCACTAGAGCCTGGGCAACAGCGCAAGACTCCATCTCAACAACAACAAAAAAAGGACAGATGAAGGTTTTCAACTTTCAATAAAGGCAGAGGAGCTTGTTACAGATTCGCCTCCCCACAAGAGCAGTTAGAAAAACTGGATAAAAATGTGCCCCGCCCCCAATCAAAAACAATTGTTGGAAGGTAATTGGAGACCTCAGTCAGGACTTGAGTGACCAGGCCTAGGAGGTGATCCTGACAGTCTGTAGTGCTTTCCCACATTTGGTGATTGGTCAACAGTAGAGGGCTAAGAGGCTAAGAAACTGAGTATGAAGTGGTAGTTAAGAGGCTGGAGAGCCTAGCTGAATGTTTGGCACTCTCACAGGGCTGAAATGACCTAATGAGAATTTGGGTCCCAGGAGGGAGATGGGACCTTGGTGGGGACCCTGGAAGGGCCACCCCTGGGAGTCCAAATGAATAAAACATAGACCAGCCATCAGAAAACCTAAAACCTGCTTTGAACCAGCTTAGTCCCGAAGTAGATGAAGGCGATCTGCCCTTACTCCAATTGTGTGCCATAAACTCAAAGTCAATACTCTCTGGAGGCAGATAAAAGTTTACTATGAATGCCAAAAGACAACACAAGACTAAATGAGAAAGACCAAGAAGAAAACTAATAGAAACATACATGTAAGGAAGAAACTTTTTTTTTTGAGACGGAGTTTCGCTCTGTCACCCAGGCTTGAGTGCAGTGGCACGATCTCAGCTCACTGCAACCTCTGCCTCCCAGGTTCAAGCGATTCTCCTGCCTCAGCCTCCCAAGTAGCTGGGATTACAGGCATGCGCCACCATGCCCGGCTAATTTTTGTATTGGCCAGGCTGGTCTTGAACTCTTGACCTCAGGTCATCCATTTACCTCGGCCTCCCAAATTGCTAGGATTACAGGCGTGAGCTACCATGCCTGGCCAGTATTTTGCCACAATTTAAAATAAATAAAATTTTTTTTTCAGGTTTGTGCTCAGACTATATTCTAAACAGTCACATGGCGGCTTACTCTTCTCCAGGCCTTGCTGCCGGCTTTTACATGTTTATTGTCTTTGCCTTCTTGTCATGTGCTCATTAGATGGCAGCTTCCAGGTGCTCCTAAGGGGCCAGGAAAGAGAGTGAGAAGGCACGGAGGTTGCCAGATCATCCCCCTTGGGGCCCCGCCCTCATCAACTCCCTCAACCGGGTCTCCTGCAACTATCGGTGGGCCATCTCGGCCACCGCTTCGCCCTGAGCTTCCTGCTGCTGCAGCTGGGCAGTGCCTCCTTCTCAGAGGCCAGCTGCTGATAGGCGGCCACGTACTGCTGCAGGTGACCCAGGTAATGGTCTCGCTGCTGCTGCAGACTCAGCCTCTTGGCTCTTCAGCTCCACCTGCAGGATAGGCGTCAGGGTAGGTAGTGGCTGGCTTCCAGATTCTGGGCCCATAAACAGGGTAGTGAGGGCACTGCGGGGCTCTGTCGCCTACCCAGGCCCCTGGCCCTGGCCCCTTCCTCCAGGCCTAAATGACTGCCTCCCTTGCCTAGAGGCCCATGCCTCCCTCCCCAGCCTCAAATCTCACACCCTTCTTCCCACCATTTAAACTGTAGGCCACAGACTGGTGGAAAAGCAGAGGGAGCCAACCACCATCTGCTAAGTTGTGGTGAGGTCGTTCTGTATGATCTCCAGGGTTTGCACACACCTCCGCCTGCTCCCCCCAAGAGCTCGGCCTTCTGCCCCAGCTTCCCCAGCCTCTCCTCCAGCTCCTGCAGCCTCACCTAGTGTTCCTGCATCTTCTCCTCCTGCTGCCGCAGCCTCACTTCCTGCTCCCGCATCTTCTCCTCCTGCCTCCGCATCTTCTCCTCCTGTTCTTGCATCTTCTCTTCCTGCTCACACATCTTCTCCTCCTGCTCCCACATCTTCTCTTCCTGTTCCTGCATCATCTCCTCCTGCTCTCGTATCTTCTCCTCCTGCTCCCGTATCTTCTTCTCCTGCTCCCTTATCTTCTCCTCCTGCCTCCGCATCTTCTCCTCCTGTTCTTGCATCTTCGCTTCCTGCTCACACATCTTCCCCTCCTGCTCCCCCATCTTCTCTTCCTGTTCCTGCATCATCTCCTCCTGCTCTCGTATCTTCTCCTCCTGCTCCCGTATCTTCTTCTCCTGCTCCCTTATCTTCTCCTCCTGCCTCCGCATCTTCTCCTCCTGTTCTTGCATCTCCTCTTCCTGCTCCCACATCTTCTCCTCCTGCTCCCCCATCTTCTCTTCCTGTTCCTGCATCATCTCCTCCTGCTCTCGTATCTTCTCCTCCTGCTCCCATATCTTCTCCTCCTGCTCCCGTATCTTCTCCTTCTGCTCCCGTATCTTCTCCTCCTGCTCCCTTATCTTCTCCTCCTGCCTCCGCATCTTCTCCTGTTCTTGCATCTTCTCTTCCTGCTCCCCCATCTTCTCTTCCTGTTCCTGCATCATCTCCTCCTGCTCTCGTATCTTCTCCTCCTGCTCCCGTATCTTCTCCTGCTCCCGTATCTTCTCCTCCTGCTCCCTTATCTTCTCCTCCTGCTTCCACATCTTCTCCTCCTGCTCCTGCCTCTTTTCCTCCTGCTCCCGTATCTTCTCCTCCTGCCTCCACACCTTCTCCTCCTGCTCCCGTATCTTCTCCTCCTGCCTCCACATCTTATCCTCCTGCTCCTGCCTCTTCTCCTCCTCCCATATCTTCTCCTGCTCATGCATCTTCTCTTCCTCCCTCCACATCTCCTCCTGCTCCCGTATCTTCTCCTCCTGCCTCCACATCTTCTCCTCCTGCTCCCGTATCTTCTCCTCCTGCCTCCACACCTTCTCCTCCTGCTCCCGTATCTTCTCCTCCTGGTCGTGCATCTTCTCCTCCTGCCTCCACACCTTCTCCTCCTGCTTCCGTATCTTCTCCTCCTGCTCGTGCATCTTCTCCTTTTGCCTCCATATCTCCTCCTGCTCCCTTATCTTCTCCTCCTGCCTCCACATCTCCTCCTGCTCCTGCCTCTTCTCCTCCTCCCGTATCTTCTCCTGCTCGTGAATCTTCTCCTCCTGCCTCCACATCTTTTTCTCCTGCTCCCGTATCTTCTCTTCCTGCTCCCGTATCTTCTCCTCCTGCCTCCACATCTTCGCCTCCTGCTCCTGCCTCTTCTCCTGCTCGCGTATCTTCTCCTCCTCCTGCCTCTTCTCTTCCTGCTCCCGTATCTTCTCCTGCTCGTGCATCTTCTCTTCCAGCTCCCGTATCTTCTCCTCCTTCTCCCACATCATCTCCTCCTGCCTCCGCATCTTCTCCTCCTTCTCCCACATCATCTCCTCCTGCCTCCGCATCTTCTCCTCCTGCTCCCGTATCTTCTCCTCCTGCTCCTGTATCTTCTCCTCCCGCTCCTGTATCTTCTCCTCCTGCCTCCACATCTTCTCCTCCTGTTGCTGGTTCAGGCGGTTCCACAACTCGTTCTCTTCCACCTGGGCTTGGAGCTTTGCTGACACACTCTGCAGCTCCTTACCCAGGTGGTCAGCCTCCGCCTGCAGCTGCTGCTGGAATAGTGAAAGTGTTTTTTTGAACCTCAGAAGGAAGCAGAATCATGAGCTAGCCACATAAATGTAATCTATAGGCTGGGCGCGGTGGCTCACGCCTGTAATCCCAGCACTTTGGGAGGCCGAGGTGGGCGGATCACGAGGTCAGGAGATCGAGACCATCCTGGTTAACACAGTGAAACCCCGTCTCTACTAAAAATACAAAAAATTAGCTGGGTGTGGTGGTGGGCACCTGTAGTCCCAGCTACTTGGGAGGCTGAGGCAGGAGAATGGCGTGAAGCCGGGGGGTGGAGCTTGCAGTGAGCCGAGATTGCGCCACTGCACTCTGGCCTGGGTGACAGAGTGAGACTACTTCTCAAATAAATAAATAAATAAATAAATAAATAAATAAATAAATGTAATCTGTAAAATAATGGTTTTCATCCATGATCCTTTAAAAAAATATTTTTAAGCCCTAACTCTTGAGATTCTGATTCCCCAGGCAGGGCCCCAATTTGTACATTTTTAGTACACTCTAGAGGATTCTATGGCGGGGCCAGAACAAGGACCCAAATTTTCCAGCTCTTGGCTGGAGCCTCCCCATACCCTGCATGATCCCTAGACCATGGTCCCAGCTGGATGGGTCTCCCACAACCCCCGGGGCTGCAGCTGCTCACCTGTGGCAGCAGGAGCTTGGCCCTCTCCAGTTTCCTTTTTAGCTCCTTTACGTTGAGCTGGATCTCAGACTTTTCAGATTCTACAAGTTGAAGTTTTTCTTGTAGTTTGGCATTTTTCTCCTTCAGCTCCTCATCAGTTATGCTATGGCCAGAGGCAGTAGAGAAAGGAATGAATGAAGAACATAAAAGACCACTTTGGTGATTGACCCCCTACCCTCGCCCCACAACCACAGAACCGTGGCGCTGGAAGGGACCCCAGGAATTAAAAGTCCCAGGTGGCAGGCCAGAGAGAAGACATGAGTTGCCTGAGGCTACCCCATGAGTCAGTGGCACAGCCAGCACTAGAGCTTCCGTGTGCACACATGAAAACATGTATGAGCCTCTCCCCACACTCACCTGGACCCCCCACCTCCCAGCACACCACCCATGCTAAGGGCCCCCAGACCTCCCATTCCACCTTCCCCCATCCTACGTGTTCCTGTACAGTTCCAGACTCAGGGCGTCCCTCTCCTTTGTTAACTCCTCAATGTACTGCAAATAGAGAAAGGTTAAGTCAGGATAGAGCAGGCACAGCAGTAGCTGGACGACCAGGAACAACTGCTACAGTGACTACTCCACAGTAACACTTCCTCACTCTCAATCACACCTGACGTGTTCTCAAGGCATTTCCAAGCCCATGGTCTCATTTGTTTTTCTTTCTTTCTTTCTTTCTTTTTTTTTTTTTTTTGGCAGAGTTTCATTCTTGTTGCCCTCACTGGAGTGCAATGGCACAATCTCAGCTCACCACAACCTACACCTCCGGGGTTCAAGCAATTCTCCTGCCTCAGCTTCCCGAGTAGTTGGGATTACAGGCATGTGCCACCACACCGGGCTAATTTTGTATTTTTAGTAGAGACGGGGTTTCTTCGTGTTGGTCAGTCTAGTCTTGAACTCCTGACCGCGGGTGATCCGCCCACCTCAGCCTCCCAAAGTGCTGGCATTACAGGCGTGAGCGAGAGCACCTGGCCCTCATTTGTTTTTCAAAGAACTCAGTGGATGTGGAAGGGACAGGGAAAGAGATTGAATTTAGGGCTGGCTAACAGGGGCCCAGAGCGATCAGATAATATTGTTATTGTTATTACTGTTATTACTACCACTGTTGGAGCCTTTATTGGGTGCTTCACCAGGCACTATGCTAACAATCCCATTTAATCCTCACAACCTCCATAGGAGACGGTTACCATTATTACCTCTATTGTGTAGATGAAAAACATGCGGTATTAAAGGTTAAGTGCTGCCTAAGATCACTTGGAGCTGGCATTTCAACACCCAGGTATATCTGATTCTCTAAGCCCATTCTTCCGCTGGAGGTAGGGGCACAGTTAAGAAGGAGGAAATTAATCCTTTGTTGAATTTTTGAAAGGATGATACGTTCGCATAGTCCAAAACTCAGAAAGTCCAGAAGGGAAATATCTCCCCCCAACACTGTGCCTCTATCCTGAGTTTTTTAATGAATCCTTACAAACGTGTTTTATGTATGTTACCATAATACGTACACACACACACATATACACCTGCCCCCTCTCTCCACACAAATAATAACATACTCAAGATACTCTTCTGTACCTTTATGGTACAAGTACCCTAACCGCCACTTAGGACTTGGCCAAGGCCACAGCCAAGTATGGGCAGGGCGGGCACTTGGCCTCTGAGATCTATGTCCAGTGCTCGCTCCTCACAGTGCTCCCCAACTCACCCACAACAGCCGACTCAGCCCCAGTCTGCCTCTAACAACCACACACAAAAGCAGCAAGAAATGGCCATGCTGCCTTCTGGGCAGGACACTCCATCCTACAGAAGGGACCTTTAGGCTCACTCCTCCATCTGCGAAGCTGGGCTCCCAAGGGACGGGGCCGTGTTTGGACTCACCCTATCCGCCTTCTTCTTCTGTGTAGCGACAGCAGAGAGAGCCTGCTCTAACTCTCCTGCAAACTTCCATGAATCATGCAGGCGGCTGATCAGATCCCTGGCCTCTCCTGGAATGAGAGACATTCAGATGTGGCCCAAAGGACTCCCCCTAAAGGCCTGTCAAAGTGCCAGGTTGAAGGATGATGGGGTGCCAGATTCCCACCTTCCAACTGCTTGACAGCATGCTGGCTGTAGTAAAGTGCCATCTGAAGCTCAGTTTTCTGACATGTAAGGATTCGTATGGTTTGAACCTGGGCCTTTGGGAGAAAAGACAAGCAAATGCTGAAAGAGAAGCAAAGAAACATTCTCCAGAGGGCAGGAGGGAACTTCACACCCTCCACTCACCTCTAGCTCCCTCCTTAGGGCTTCCTGATGTTGGTGGCTTGCCTTCTGTTCCTATAGAAAGAGGAAAACAGAGCTCTTGCTAGGGGGAGGCAGAGATGGCACAGCAAGAGACATGCCCCCAGAATGGCACCACTGCCCCAGAACAGGCCCACCCATGGGACCAGTTTATCAGGGACCCTGTGGGGATGGGGTGGAATCTTGGGGGTGAGCCTTCTTCCCCAGGCTGGGAGTGGGTGAGATGAGCCTGGGGCCTCTACATCTGAGTGCCCCCAAACCCAGCGGTCATGTCGTGAGCAAAGAAATCACACGACTTCTTCCAGCTGAGCTCGGTTCTATTGTTTCTGTGGGGAGAGTCAAAGGAAGGTGACTGAGGGTGGCCCCCTTGACTCTATTCCCCAGGCCAGGAAGCGATAGGCAGGGGCCAGGAATGGATTTAAAAGGCACAGTTCTCAGACCCAATGGGAACATGAACTGGTCAACTCTCCTCAACTCCCAAAGAAGAAGGATTTGGGTCTTTTTGGTTTTTGCCCACAGCCACAGAACTCAAAGTCTGAAACTAGATTCTCTTGAAAAGACAGTAACAGAAACCTTCAGAGGTGGAGTGCGAGAAAAGCCCACCCTTCCGCCAGCTTGTGATTTAGAAAGGTGCATTCACTCAGCAAACGTTGAGCACATACGGGCCAGGGACGGTTCTTCACAGCGGGAATAGAGGTCAGAA
Source organism: Homo sapiens (assembly GCF_000001405.40). Taxonomy (NCBI): domain Eukaryota; kingdom Metazoa; phylum Chordata; class Mammalia; order Primates; family Hominidae; genus Homo; species Homo sapiens. Next base: position 43,637 of record NW_003315943.1, read on the forward strand.
AAGGCAGACAGGAGCCCTTGGCCCCGAGGTTTCCATTCTAGTGGGCCTTTAACTCTCGGGCTCTCAGAGCTAACAGAAACCTCTGATACTCTCTAACTCTACCTCAGGAAACGCAAGCCCAAGAAGGAGAGTTTACAGCAGGTCCTGGACGAGGGATTAACATAAAAACACAATGACAAATCTCATTTAAACTTCACAAATGTAAGGAAAACAATACCACTCGTATTTTACGGATGTGAAAAGAGAGGCCCAAAGAGCTCAAGCAATTTGCGCTAAATCATATCCCTAGCAGATGGAGGGGTAGGATTCAAACCCAGAATTCTTAGCCAGTACCTGGCAGTTCTTCCACAATCTTAACAATTACCCTCCACCACCCCTTGGGCCCTCTGTCCCCAGGAGCCCGGCCAGCCAAGACTCACATCCTCAGGCGAGTGGCAACCACCAGAAGTGGTTGTCTCAGGGTTAGTGCCATTATTTATTTTCTTCTTTTTGGTGTCGCTTGCTGCTGTACCAACACTAGGGTTGGTCTGGGGATGATGGTCTGTCAACTGTGGAAAGGAAGAGCAGTGATACTCATGAGAACTACAAGCTCCTACAGTCACATCCTGCTTTACAGTTTATACTAAATACTCTTATAGACCATCTGATTTAATGCCACCAACTGTAGGAAATGTTGTCACAATCACTTAGTGACTGAGAGAGATTGATACCATGGCTGAAAAAAAAGGCAGTAATGGAACTTAAACTCAGTCTTCTGACTCTGAGCTCTGGGATTTTGCCCTAAATCAGCAGCTGCCAGGGACCAAAACCAGAGGCAGAGGTAGAAAAGCAAATATTAAGTAGGCAGGAACTGTGCACTATGTGGTTTAGGGTTATTCACCCTCACACGTCTGTTAGTGTTAAAAAGTACACCAGTACCTCTCAAACCTTTACATCAATGTCTCCTCATGGCAGAAGGCAGCCTTTCTGCTAAATCTGGGAATTTAACAGAAAGAGGACAACCCAAGCCTCATTTCAGAGAGAAGTCTTGTATACGCTTATAAATCTATGTGACTTTCATCCCTAAGTACATTAATGTTTTGTCTCTCAATAGAATCAAGGGAAACTGATGCTTCAGAAAGATGCCCCATATTTATCCTGTGGCACTCAAAGTACCCCAGGTTGAGATGAGATGAGGAAGACTCAAGCTAAGTTCAGTTTCCCAAGATCTGTTCCACAGAAGATAAGCAGATCTCACTCCAGAACCAGTGACTGAGGGGCACTCTGGTCCCAGAACAATGGAGAATTCAAATCTGAGGTGCAGAACTGAGAAAAAATGTTAAAATCTCTCTGGAGAGTAGAAGCCTGGGAGAAAACCAAACCAAACCCGTTCTCCCATTGCCACCCAGAGACACTGTCAACGTGTTGAGCTCCTGGGGGAGGTGTAGGCTTTTCACACTGTCAAGGTCTGTGGTAAGGAAGTCAGGCAGCCTGAAACCTCTCTCTTCTAGGTCCCACAGTCCCCATTCCCCTTCCAGCTGGAAACCTGTGCTGCAACCAGAGGAAACAGAAGTGGGCAAGAACACTTAGGGGACTGGGTCCTAAGACCAAAGGCCGGTCTTGTGGTAGTAATGACAGTTTGTAGCGGGACTGTGACATCACTACATTCTACTCCTCGGTGGAGTGGTTGGGGGGGACACATGAGTGCAATGCCCAAGTTGCCGCTTTGAGACTGGGGAGGGGGTCACAAAATTGGGAGCCAGGTCCTTGGAGACGTGACCCCAAAGAGCCCCGGGAGGTCAGGCTTGGGGCGGCAGGAGGTGAGGGCCAATTAAGGAGCAAGGAGCTCCAGGAGTCACATCCCCAAAGTCACCCTGTGGCAACTGGTGAGGGCAGGTTCTGGGGCACCCAGGTCCTTGGAGCTGTGAGCTCAAGGAGCCCAGGGAGGTCGGGTTTGGGGTAGCAGGAGGTAAGGGCGGAGTATGGAGTTGGAAGCCCCAGGAGTCACCTGCTCAAAGTCACCCTGGTGTGCCGGGCAGAGCAGGGGCAGGACTTATGAGGGGGTTGGGCTGGCTGACAAGATTTTGGTGTGGGGAGCCCAGAGGCACTGGGGTGGGGGGCCCAGCCTGGTGTCCCTCAGGAGTGGCACAGACTCTGGCAGCAGTTCGGCTGTCAGAGGGGGCCTCGGGTTGGGTTGGGGTGTTGGTGCGTTTACCTGTTCCTTGGCCTCGGCCAATTTGCTCTGTCTGGTTTCTTTGGACATCATAGGATGGGTAGGGAGGTGGGGATGGGTAGGGAGGTGGGGATGGGTAGGGAGGTGGGGATGGGTAGGGAGGTGGGGTTGGGGCCACATCAGCATGATCCAGGTGAGGACAAGTATATACCTCCAGTCACCTCTACGTCGCTGTGTGACTGAGCCAGAGGAGGCGTAACCAGGGCTGCACTAGAATGCAGAATAGGGGTGTGGCCTTCATGCTTGAAGCCCATTGGTCAATGAGAAAGATGAAAGGAAAAGGAGGTGTGGCCAGACAGCAGCGTGTCATCAAGGACCTGTGTTGTCACAAGGAAAGCTGCCTATGCAACCGCTGTCCCCGCCCACTCCAGGAGAGGGGCGGGGCTGGCTTTCACTTTAAAAACTTTAAAACTTTATTACCTCAATTGAGGTACAAGTCCTATTAAAATGGAAATTTTATAGTGTGCTTGATGATTGATAAAGCAGACTTTATTATCCAACATTCCAATAAGATAATCACAATGTTTTCTCTTTTTTGGAAAAACTTTCTCTTATTCTCCTACATTAGCGTTTAGTTTTTTTTAAAAAAACAAACAAACAAGAAACATGTCTAATATCTTTAAAAATACAAAGCTTTGAGCCAGGCATGATGGCTCATGCCTGTAATCCCAGCACTTTGGGAGGCTGGGGCGGGTGGATCACCCGAATTCAGGAGTTCAAGACCAGCCTGGCCAACATGATGAAATCCTGTCTCTACTAAAAATACAAAAGTAGCTGGGCATGGTGGCAGGTGCCTGTAATCCTAGCTACTTGGGAGGCTGAGGCAGGAGAATCCCTTGAACCTGTGAGGCAGAGGTTGCAGTGAGCCAAAATCATGCCACTGCACTTCAGCCTGGGCTGCTACAGAATGTGACTCTGTCTCTAAATACACACACACACACACACACGCACAGACACACACACACACACACACACACAAGGCTTTCCATTTAATAAGCACTCAAAGTTCTTTACAAGGTTAAAGCAAATACAGGACCCTTCTAAAGTAAGGCTAAATGCTAAGTGATGGGGGAGAGAAAAAGGACATAAATAACTCCTACTCTCATGAGTTAATCACTAAATCCGATTTTTCTAGAATCACCTGGCCTCTAAGCCCTGAAAATGAAACTGAATTTCTCACTCGATACTTGGCTATGACTTGCAATCATAAAAACCAAGAATTGTGTTATGTCACTGTGTATTGCTTGTTACCTGGGATCAAGGGTTGACTTTTTCATGATTTGCTCCATTACCTGTGTGCTTCTTCTCCCAGTCCAAACTACGCTTTTTTCTAGAGATCTACAATTTACAGTTAGTATGTAAGGGTGGCTCTCAAACATGTAGTCTCCGGACCAGGAGCACCTGGGAACTTCTTATAAATGTAAATTCTCAGGCCCCACCCTAGACATGAATGAATCAGAAACTCTGCAGTAGGGCCCAGCAATCCGTGCTGCAATAATCCCTCCAGGTGCTCAGGAACCTCTGCCATACAGCAGGTAGAAAAATGTGTTTCCTTCTGTAGGGCCACAGCCAGGGATACTATACGTTCTGTCTCAATATGAAACAATGACATGCAATTAAAAGACATAAATCTCCTTCCTACTTCCACCCTCCAGCCAGTGTGTTTTATTTTTATGAGTTCAATAAGAAAACGTGTGGCAATCAGAGATTTCATCTAAAAAATATATCTACAGGTATCAGTTCTCATCCAGCCTGATCTCATCCAATATCATTTCTATCCTCTTACATCTAAAGTTTTAGAAAAGGATTTTCACAACGTAAGACTCAGGCGCACTAGGAGTTCTATGATAAAAGACCAAGTAGATCTGAATGTCCAAACTTACTAGAGAAGAAAAGTGGACTCATTGGCTATATTTTCAAATTGCATTCAACAGGAAATTAAAGGTTTGAATTTTTTCCACCTTCATCCTTCCAAGTTAATAGAATTAAACCAGAATACTCCATTCTTCCAAAGCCTGTAGCCAGGCAAACTTTTACTGTATTACTTCTTGCTTTTCAATGGATATAAAGCAGAGTCCTGGTAGGCACATTTTGTATACCTGCAAAGATGCAAAACTAAACAGTTCCCTCGGTTCAATATTAAAACAAAAGTCCTGTAAACCTCAGATGGTGAGTGTAATACTTCAGCACTAGCACGAAAGCCTCAAATATAAAAAGATACCAAGAACCTTGCTAGCAAACCAAAGTAAGCTCTTGGCCGGGAGCAGTAGTTCACGCCCGTACTCCCAGCATATTGGCAAGCTAAGGTGGGGTAAGTCAGGAGTTAAAGACCAGCCTGGGCAGCATAGCGAATTCATATCTCTACAAAGAAAATTTAAAAATTAGCTGGGCTTGGCGGCACACACCTGTAGTCCTAGAGCTACTTGGGAGGCTGAGGTGGGAAAATCACTTGAGCCCAGAAGTTTGAGGCTGCAGTAGCTATGATCATGCCACTGCACTCCAGTTGGGGTGACAGAGCGAGATCTAATTATTACATTCTCTCCTGCTCCTGTTTCCACTAAAATCACTAACTTAAAATGTGTTCATTCAGCAGGATAAAAATTAAGTGAAATTTGACTTTGGTGCTTTGCTAGCAAAAAATAAATAAAGTGAAATGACAAATTACTTACTGGGAGAAGATCTTTGTAACCTCAATGACAGATTAAAGGTTTGTATCCTTAGCCTATAAAGAAATCTTTAAAATTACTCAGAAAAAAAAATGAATGATTTGCAGCAGAAAATGGGCAATGGAGAAACCAGCACTTCCCACAAGAATAAAAATGGCCAATGAGCAAATGAAAAAGATTCAAAAGCACTAGAAATCAAAGAAAGGTAATGAAAACAATGAGATTTTCTGCTTAAAGACCAGCGAAGACGACAAATGGAAGGGGGAACCTGGAGCTCTGTCCCTGTTGGTGGGAGCATAAACTCAACCAATTTTCCTATAGGATGATTTGAACATTTCTTTTAAAAATCCTAAAACGGTTTTATATTATTTTCTTCTAGAAATTCTACTTCTATGAATTCAGTGCAAAAATCCTCACTCGAGTCCATTAAAATATATATAGAAGGAAATCCACCTCTGGGGTGGCAATGATTCACTTAACATACATCCAGCTGTTGAAAGTGATGATGCCAGGGTATATTTCTCCATAGAAACATGCTTAAAATATAGTAAGTGACAAAAGACCATGTATTGTGATTCTACTTTTTAAAATGTTTACAGCATAAAAAGTGTGAAAAGCAACAAACCGGAATGTTTTGAGTGGCAAAATTAAAGATTTTTCTTTACATTTTGTCATCCAAATTATTACAAAAACAATGTGATTTCCTTTATAATCATGGAAAAGTGTTATTTTCATTTATTTATATTTACATTTCTTTTCTTTTTCTTCTTTTTTCTCCTGTATGTATCCCACATAGGCTACAGAGCTTAAATCCCTGCCTCTTGAGAGAAATCAGCCCATTTTCAGGACATGCAATACACAAAGCTGCCCCATCTTCCCTTTATTTTTATTTTTATCTTATTTATTTATTTATTTATTTATGTTGAGATGGAGTCTCACTCTGTTGCCCAGGCTGGAGTGCGGTGGTGCATCTCAGCTCACTGCAACCTCCATATCCCGAGATCAAGCGATTCCCCTGCCTCAGCTTCCCGAGTACCTGGGACTATAGGCATGCACCACCATGCCCAGCTAATTTTTGTATTTTTAGTAGAGAGGAAGTTTTACCATCTTGGACAGGCTGGTCTCGAACTCCTGACCTCAAGTGATCCGTCTGCCTTGGCCTCCCAAAGTGCTGGGATTACAGGCATGAGCCACTGTGCCTGGCCTGTCATATTATTTCTAACATTTGAGGGACATTTCAATTAAGTGAAATTTAATTCTTACTGACCTGATCTCTTATCCTCTGTTTAATGATACCTTCCAGTTGAAAGGTGTTTCCTCTGTAATCACGGGTGCCAAAGGAAATACAACATGTATTCATTAGGTGGATATCCACTAAACCACGGATTCATGCATTGTAGTCCTTAGACCCTCAGCATCAGAAACACGTGGGAACTTGTTAGACATGCAAATTCCTGGGCCAGCCCCACACCTCCTGAATCAGAAAGTGGGGAAGGACAGCTATCTGTGCTTTAATAAGCCTTGAGATGCTCCCTGAAGTTTGAAAACTACAGAACTAGAATACATATGGTAGTAAGTGCTCATACTTTATCCAAGGTACTAGGGACTCTTCCCCTCTTTTCCATTCTCTTTTCTGTTGAAATAAAATGAGAGCTCCTTTTGACTTAATGGGTATAAGAAAGAAGGCAATGAGATGACCAGGGTTTCAAGTTAGAGTTCAAAATTTAATCAGTGGACAGTGACAGGATGCAAGCCTTCTAAACAGATTGCTGCAAGGAAGCTGATTATAATCTATACAGTAGGTATCATTAGTGTATTGATGTTAAATTTTGGGGGTGGATTAATGGTATTGTGATTATATAGGAGAAGTCCTGGTTCCTAGAAGATATCTGCGAAAGTACTTAACAGTGAAATGCTCTGATACTGCCAACTTACTTTGAAATGATTCAGAGGGAAAAAGGGCACATATACAATCTTCCATACGCAGAAGACAGAAAACAAGTGTGACAAAACATTAACTAGTGAATCCAGTTGAATAGCATACAGATGTTCACTGTATGATTTTATCAACTTTTCTGTGTTTGCAAGTTTTCAAAATAAAAGTTGAGGGAAAGAAACATCACCCCAAATCTTTCTATGAAATGGGACCATAGAAAAAGCAGAGAAGTGAACACTTTGCAGAAAAGAGCACTGCACCCATCCGGACAGCATGGTCAAAGTGCAGGCTCTCCTCCAGGAGGCTCTTCTCTGGTCTCTTCTGTGCTGTCACTTCCCCCACATGCAGCCAAGGCTTTTTTCTAACAACTCTTTTTCTAAAGATGTAATTTTTGTCATTCATCTAAGAAAGAGAAGAAAAGAATTAGTATACATTTAGAAAATAAAATTACACTTACATTTGTGAAAAAGCAAAAAATACTTTGAAAAGTGGGGAAGCAAGAAATGTACTGTTCTACAATTCTGTTCTGTTCTTACCATCTTTTTATTCTGCCAATGACTTCCTATTCCTGCTGTGTATGGTGGGGTGAGCTGCAAATGATTTCTTTTCCTCATTGATTTAAAATCTCATGTTTATAATGTGCCAAACTCCCCCAGAAGCATTTGGGTTTATTTCTGGGCTCTATTCTATTCAAGTAATCTATCTGTTCACAAGCCACTATCAGTTTTGATTATTGGAGCATCCTAAAGTTAAGTAATTGTTGTTTTTGTTTTTGAGATGCAGTCTCTCACTCTGCCGCCCAGCTGGACTGCAGTGGCGTGATCTAGGCTCACTGCAAGCTCCACCTCCCGGGTTCATGGCATTCTCCTGCCTCAGCCTCCCGAGTAGCTGGGACTACAGGCACCTGCCACCACGCCTGGCTAATTTTTTGTATGTTTAGTAGAGATGGGGTTTCACCTTGTTAGCCAGGATGGTCTCGATCTCCTGACCTCGTGATCCGCCTGCCTCGGCCTCCCAAAGTGCTGGGATTACAGGCGTGAGCCACCGCGCCTGGCCCTGAATTTGCTTGAGTTTTTAGCTCTCTCACCCATTTCAGGATTGTCACCACCCATATCTGACACGTCCTCCTCCTCCTCTAAATCTTCTAGGTCCTCCTGGCCATCAGCCTCTGTTTCTGAACCAGCCTCTTCATGCTCCTGTTCTTCACTCTCTGGGAGAAGACTGATATCTTCATCTTTCTTTCACTAACCGCATTCTGGAAGCACGGTAAAATTGCTTCATTTTGCAATTCCAGTTGTTGCAAAGTCTGCTCATCATCAAAACTTTCTATCACAAGTTTTTGTAAAGAGCTGCCATGGATTCTACCATTCTCTACTGTTTTATTAAAGTCATAAAGCACTTTTGTTAAAGAAGTGAACTTTGGTTCCAATCCATCTTGAAACCTATTGGGAGGAATTAAATGAGATTTAGAATTATAGATAATAATTTCACAGCCCTCTTAATTAAAAGAAAAATAAAAACCTCAACTCTTCTGTAAAATCAAATTTGAATAAAGTGTAAGTATAGATTCTGGCCCCAACAATATATAAGCTGATGAGCCACAATGATATATAAAACCTGTCAACCAAGTATTTGTGAATCAGCTGTATAGATTGTTGGCAGGAAAAGCATTACAAATCTATTTGCTTGGAGATATATAGTGAATTAGCCTTAAATTATCTACTCTGCTACATTATATACCACTCCATTCATTCATTCCCTTATTCACTCAATGATCAACATTTGCTTTGGCTACAGTGGTCAAGGAAAACCTCTCCTAGATGTGACATCTGAGATGAAACTTACAGACAAGTATAGTCTTATAAAGATTGGGAAACATGTATTCCAGGCGGAAGAAACAGCAAGAACAAATTCTCTAAGATGCAATTGAGCTTGGTAAGCCTGAGGAATAAAAAAGTGAGCATGGCTATAGCGTGAAGGAGGCAGAAGGTGAAGTTGGAGAGACTGATGGGAGCCAAATTCTGCAGGGCTCAAGGGTAAGAGTTTGCCGTTTTAAGTGTAATAAGAAAATGTGAGAAGATTTTAAGCAGAAGGATGAAATGATGATTTATACGAAGGAAGAAGAAAGGGAGGAAGGAGGAGGAGGAAAGTAGAGTGATTAGAAGGTTGATGCAGCATTCCAGGCAAAAGATGATGGTGATTTAAGCTGGAGTTAGAGCAGTGAATATGCTGAGTACAGTTTGGAGGTAGAACTGACAGGATTGCTAAGGAATTAGATACAGAATAGAGAAAAGTGAAGTCATCAAAATAGCAGCCTAGTTTTATGTGCGAGCAACTGGAGAGACAGAACTGCCATTTACTGTGATAGGCAAGGCTTGAGTGGTGGAGCAAGGGGAAAGGACTTCAGCGGATGGCAGAGTGTAGGTGGGTAGAAACAACATTCTACTGTATTTTGGACACAGTGAATTTGTGATGCTGAGAGGACCAAAATTTAAAAAATTGTTAAAAGCCGTACGGTGCAGATATCCCAGTTGTGCGCTACTGAATTCCAACTAAGCTCAGTCTGGAGTTGCTTGTGAGCAAGGAACTCAAGGGAGAGGTTGGAGTTTGAAACATAAATGAGTCATAATTTTATAGGTCATATTTGAAGTTCTTCAACAAAATACACATAAAACGTTTGTGTTGGGAAGAGACATGAAAGTTCTAATTCTCAAGAAGCTTAGTGGGGTAGACAGACAAGTGACAAGTTTGTGCTTTCAATAAAGTATGATGGCAGGTAAACACTGAGTGCTTTAGGAGCACAGGCGGAAGGAGAAACCAACACAGTTGTGTGTAGGGGGATGGGGGCCGTAATAAGCCTCAAGGGGAGCTTATAGGCGTGAATAACTGAGGTTAGGTTGATTTCAATAACATTCAACTGAGAGATCCATACTGTAAAAGTTTTAACAATTTTTAAAATTTTGATAGCCTAGGTCCTCTGAAATGTGGGGAAAAGTGATTTACATTTCCCCTTACCTTCCCCCAGCTCCACAATTTGCCAGGGGTCTGCAACCCGTGTCCACGTGCGACCGCAGTCGCACCCGAGCCCGGGATCTGTGCACTTACGTGAGGATGCACTCGGGCCAGCCAGTGGCTTTGCCCACCTCCCTCAGACACCGCTCCGGGGTCCGTCAGCGCCAGGCCCATGGGCCATGGCTGTCTGCAACTCCCGACACAAGCTGCAAGGCAAGAGAGCCGCTGGGAAACCGCACCGCAAGGATGCTGGCATTGGAACAGGAATTAAAAGAAATGAAAAAATGTGTAAGCAAAAACTCAGCTGTATGTAAAAAAAACCCAATTCCCCCTGAGAATGAGAAAGAGCCTTAGTCCTTTAAAAAAACTACCTGTTTTCCTATGGCTAGTGAGCCTTATCGCTCCCTTCCCAGGCATTATCAAAACCCTAATTCCCTAACTGTGCAACTGCAAGGTCACTAAACAAACAAATGCAAGTCACAAAACATATTTTTCCTAAAAACGTAAAAAAAAAAAAAACATAATGCGTGCTTCAATTAAATAACCCTCTGTTTCTCGCTTCTGTAATATGCTTCCCCCTGCACAGATCTACCCGGGCTCCACAAAATGCTAAAAGATAACTCTTTATTCAGCTCAACGCTTTGATCTGCCTGGCGTGGTGGCTCACTCTTGTGATCCCAGGACTTTGGACGGCCAAGTAGGGTGGATCGCTTGTGCCTTGGAGTTCCAGACAGGCCTGGGCAACATGGTGAAACCTGGTCTTTTTGTTTTGTGTTGTTTTGAGACGGAGTTTCGCTCTTGTTGCCCAGGCTGGAATGCAGTGGCTGGGTCTCTGCTTGCCGCGACTTCCGCCTCCCGGGTTTCGGTCGTTGTCCTGCATCAGCCTCCAGAGTGGCTGGGATTGCAGGCATAAGCCACCAAGCCCGGCTAATTTTGTATTTTTTTTTTTATTTTTATTTTGGTACAGATGGGGTTTCTCCCTGTTGGTCAGGCTGGTCTGAAACTCCCGACCTCAGGTGATCCACCTGCCTAGGCCTCCTGAGGTGCTAGGATTGCAGGCTTGAGCCACCGCTCCCGGCCCAATTTGTTAATCAGAAAGGAATAGATCGTCCTGGTGTGGTGGCTCACGCTTGTGATCCCAGTACTTTGGATGGCCCAGCGCGGGGTATCCCTTGAGCCTAGGAGTTCCAGACCTGCCTGGGCAACATGGTGAAACCCGGTCTCTCTCTCTCTCTCTCTCTTTTTTTTTATGAGGTGGAGTTTCGCTCTTGTTGCCCAGGGTGGAGTGCAGTGGCTGGGTCTCCGCTCACAGCGACTTCTGCCTCCAGGGTTTTAGTAGTTCTCCTGCCTCAGTCTCCGGAGTGGCTGGGATTGCAGGCCTGACCAACATTGCTCTGCTAATTTTTTTTTATTTGTTTTTGGTAGAGACGGGGTTTCTCCATGCTGGGCAAGCTGATCTCAAACTCCAGACCTCAGGTTATCCGCCCACCTCGGCCTCCGGGGATGCTGGAATTGCAGGCGTGAGCCAGCGCACACACCCAATTTATTTTTATTTCATTTTTTATTTTTATATATATATACTTTTGAGACGGAGTCTCACTTTGTCACCCAGGCTGGAGTGCAGTGGTGCGCTGTCTCGGCTCACTGCAACCTCTGCCTCCCAGGTTCAAGCGATTCTCCTGCCTCAGCCGCCTGAGTAGCTGAGATTACAGGCGCCCGCTAGCACACCCATCTAATTTTTTTTTTTTTTTTTTGTATTTTTAGTAGAGATGGGTTTTCATCATGTTGGCCAGGCTGGTCTCGAACTCCGGACCTCAGGTAAACCCACCTCGGCCTCCCAAAGTGCTGGGATGACAGGAAGGATCGGCCTGGCGTGGTGGCTCACGCTTTTGATCCCAGGAGTTTGGACGGGCCGAGCGTGGCGGATCCCTTGATCCTAGGAGTTCTAGACCAGCCTGGGCAACATGGTGAAAACCGGTCTCTCTCTCTCTCTTTTTTTTTTTGAGGCGTAGTTTCCCTCTTGTTGCAGGGCTGGAGTGCAGTGGTGCGGTGTCGGCTCCCCGCGGCCTCTGCCTCTGGGTTTGGGTGGTTCTCCTGCCTCAGCCTCCGAGTGACTGGGATTGCAGGCGGGAGCCACCATGCCCGGCTCTTTTTTTTTTTTTTTTTTTTTTTTTTTTCTGGTAGAGACAGGTCTCTCCATGTTGGTCAGGCTGGTCTCAAACTCCCGACCTCAGGTGATCCGCCCACCACGGCCTCCCGGGGTGCTGGGACTGCAGGCGTGAGCCACCGCTCCTGGCCCAATTTATTAATCAGAAAGAAATAGATCGGCCTGGCGTGGTGGCTCACGCTTTTGATCCCAGGACTTTGGACAACCGAGCGTGGGGAATTGCTTGAGCCTAAGAGTTCCAGACCTGCCTGGGCAACATGGTGAAAATCTGTCTCTTATTATTATTATTATTTTTTTTTGAGGCGGAGTTTCCCTCTTGTTGCCCAGGCTGGAGTGCAGTGGCTGGGTCTCCGCTCGCGGCGAATTCTGCATCCCGGGTTTTGGTGGTTCTCCTGCCTCAGCCTCCTGAGTAGCTGGGATTACAGGCACCTGCCGCCACACCCGGCTAATTTTTTTTTTTTGTATTTTTAGTAGAGACGGGTTTTCATCATGTTGGCCAGGCTGGTCTCAAATTCCTGACCTCCGGTGATCCACCCACCTCCGCCTCCCCAAGTGCTGGGATGACAGGCGTGATCGGCCTGGCGTGGTGGCTCACGCTTTTGATTCCAGGACTTTGGACTGGCCAAGCGTGGGGGATTGCTTGAGCCTAGGAGTTCCAGACCGGCCTGGGCAACATGGTTAAACCCAGTCTTTTTTTAAATTCCTTTATTATTATTATTATTATTATTTTTTTTGAGACGGAGTCTCTCTGTTGCCCAGGCTGGAGTGCAGTGGCGCTATCTCGGCTCACTGCAGCCTCTGCCTCCCAGGGTCAAGGGATTCTCCTGCCTCAGCCTCCTGAGTAGCTGGGATTACAGGCGCCCACCACCACACCTGGCTAATTTTTTTTTATTTTTTAGTAGATCGTGGTAACTGCCTTAAAATGATGATTGTTCAGAAAGTCAGTTTAATTTAGATACTAAGGATATTGAGGTTATGTAACATTTGAGCAAGTTCTAAAAAAAAAGAGAAATAGTATATTTAATTGCTAATAAAGTATTGTCAACTCACAAATATATTCACATAGCATACATTTCAAGAGCAGAATAACCATGAATATAAAAGGAATTAGCAAAAACGAGACAAAAAAGACATGAAGAAATAAAAACAGATGGAACAAATAGCACAAAATACGATGAAAGTTATAAAAGAAACTATGCCAACAATCACAATAAATGTAAATAGACTGAATAATTAAGAGAAAATGACTATAAAACAGAATTAGGGCACGCGTGGTGGCTCATGCCTGTAATCCCAGCACTTTGGGAGGATGAGGCAGGCGGAGGGATCACAAGGTCAGGAGTTCGAGAGCAGCCTGACCAACATGGTGAAACCCCATCTCTGCTAATACAAAAATTAGCCGGCGTGGTGGTGAACATCTGTAATCCCAGTTACTCAGGAGGCTGAGGCAGGAGAATCGCTTGAATCCAGGAGGCAGAGGTTGCAGTGCCGAGATCACACCATTACACTCCAGCCTGGGCAACAGAGCAAGACTCCGTATCAAAAAAAAAAAACACACAAAAAAAACACAAAAAACAGAAAATAAACAGTATGAAAAGACATCTAAAACATAAAGTCACAGAAAGACTGAGAGAGATTGAAAAAAGATACACATGTCATATGTACCTAACCCAAAGAAGGGTTGGAAGCTATATTATTATCAGATAAAATAGGCTTTGGGCAAAAAGCAATATGGGAGATTTTTTAAGGTCACAATATGATGATAAAAATTCTAATAAACCAAGGGAGAAGGTAATCTAAAATGTTAATGTATCTAATAACTAGCACTCAAAATACATGAAAGCAAAATATGACAAAATTGCAACCCTCAGAGGGCAATTTAAATACATATCTCAGTATCTGATAAAAGAGACAAAAAACAATCAGCATAGACATAGAAGATTTACATCTCTCTAGAAAATTAACAAGCTTGACCTAATGTAGAGAAAAAACATATCTCTCCAAAGTGACAGCATTCACCCCCCCCAAGTACATATGTACTGAGCCATAAGGAAAATCTCAACAAATTCCAAAGAAGCGGAATCATGCATCCATCTTTCTCTCTAACCATAATCTCATTAAACTAAAAACAATAATAAAAAGATAAAGTAAAAAGCCAGAAAGGCAGATGCTAAATGAGAAAGTGACAGAAAAGTTACAGATTTTGTTAAGCATACAAAGCTTCTATAGGGTAAAGCAGTCAAAGGGATATGCAAATTTACACAGAAATCCAACCGATATAAATCCTTGAAAGATACTACATACAGATATTTCATCAGTTCTCACATGCCAAACCCAGCAAAGCCAAACTTTGGAGCCTCCCCTGCGAGCAGACCTGCCACAGGAGGAGAGGCAGCACAAACCTCCCTTTGCAGTGAAAATGCCACATTGTGTGTGCTTCTTACCCCATCACCTCTTTGGAAGTGGCCCCACTCAGTGCTAGCTGAGAATCGCTTCCCTCATACCACTCTCAGTAGTTCACCCCAAGACACACTGGACAACTCTGTACCTGGTAAGTCATTGTGAATCCAATTAATAATGGCATTCAGAAAGTTAGGAATCTTTGAATTATTAGATTCATAGTGATATTCAAAAGAAAGAAAACGACATCATTTCTGTTCCACGCATGTTGCCCACATTCACTGCGTAAAAGGCAAAGGGAACTGTGAGTACCCACAAAGAACCTGATATTGACGGCACATACATTTCTTCATTAGGAAGAATAAATTTAGACTGTAACAATTTAAAAAACCAGAAAATACAACTGTACATTTTAGCTCTTATTAAAATCCAAGAGGTTTAACTTATTTGCTCCTTGTTTAGGTAATTAGTGTCTAAAACATTTCAAAGATAACATATATAGTGGCTACGATTTCTAGTACTTTTTAAAAATTCAAGCCCAGTCTCTTCTAATTAAATGTATAAATGATTTATCTCTGTCTTTCTTAAAAAGAACCAAGAGCCCCAATTAAAAAGTAAAACTTAAATTTCCTCTTAAAAAATTGTTACGTCAAAATTATCGAATAAACCATAGTTCAGAAAATAATTTCTGAATTAAGAAAATATGAATAATAAAACCAACAGTTCATGTGCTGAATTTCAAATTTTTATTTTTTATTATTTTTAAAATTTTGTTTTAAGTTCTAGGGTACATGTGCAGGAGTGTTACGTAGGGAAACGTGTGCCATGGTGGTTTGGTCCACCTATCAACTCATCACCTCAGTGTTAAGCCCAGCACGCATTAGCTATTTTTCCTGATGCTCCTCCCCCACCCGCCCTGACAGGCCCCAGTATGTGTTGTTTCCCTTCCTGTGTCCATGTGTTCTCACTGAACCTCACATTTTTAAATACAGCATATGCCAGGTGTCATTTCAGTACCCATGATTATACATAGTATAATTATACATAGTATATGTATATGTGTAAATATATGTATATGTGTACATATATGTATGTAATATGTGTATGTAAATATTATGTAAATATGTATGTATGTAAGTATATATGTAAATATGTATGTGAATGTATGTAAATATATACACATGTAAATATGTATGGAAAAATATGTATGTAAATATATGTATGTAAATATATGTATATATATAAATGTAAAATATGTAAATATTTGTAAATGTAAAATATGTAAATGTAAAATAAATGTAGAATGTCAAATGTAAATGTAAAATGTAAAATAAATGTAAAATGTAAAATAAATGTAAAATGTAAAATAAATGTAAAATGTAAATGTAAAATATGTAAATATATGTATATGTGTAAATATATGTGTGTAAATATATATGTATATGTGTAATATATATGTATATGTGTAAATATATATGTATATATAACACAGCATACAGCATATGCCAGGTGTCATTTCAGTACCCATAATTATACATAGTATAATTAGACTACTATGTTAGCTAAAAAATGTTGATTAGATACAAATGTATAAATTTATCTTCTCTAAAAGTGGAAATTCTCTAGAGGCTATTTCCAGCTTCTGTGTGGATTGTAGAGCAGGCTGCTACCTGTACCCCAAAAATGAACACCTTAAAAAAAAGACAAGTTTCTCAGCCTCCCTATTGCACACACATATGAAAAATATGTTAAATTCAACGCCAAATATTCCTGAGATCAACACAGCAGTGATCCCAAAGAGAAAATTTCTCTTTGCTAATGGGCACAAACTTGAAGGGCAAAGCAGTGGAAGGGTAAGTCTGCAGACTCGGGTGGGGCTCAAGTCAGAATCACGTGGAAGATCATTGCCACATGTTTTTGTTTTTTTAAATAGCAAACACCACCAAGTGGAGCCCGCCGGGTTTAGTAGATATTAAACCTCTAAGGAGTGGCACATCCGAGACTGAAATTCCCATCTTTTGATTCCCAGCTCAAGGTCTCTGAAATGCCAGCACCAGCTGTGAAATTGTTCTTCTGCATTTTCATGGAGACCTTTTCTTCTATACTGCCATACTCTTTTTTTTGGAACAGTTATACCTGATCTTCCTATTTTTGTGTGTGTTCCACCGAAAGTTTTTCACTCTAAATACTTCCCTCTTTCCAACTGAGCATTTACATCTGTAACAAGGACAAAAACATCTAACATCTCTCTCACCCTTGGTTTGTGTTTTGTTTTGTTTGTTTTTGAGACAGGGTCTTGCTCTGTCACCCAGGCTGGAGTGCAGTGGCGTGATCACCGTTCACTGCAGCCTCGAGCTCCTGAGCTGAAGCAATTTTCCCACCTCAACCTCTGAGTAGCTGAGACTATAGGTGTGTGCCACCACGCCTGGCTAATATTTGTATTTTTTGTAGAGATGAGTTTTTGCCATGTTGCCCAGGCTGGTATTGAACTCCTGGCTTAAGTGATCCTCCTGCCTAGGCTTCCCAAAGTGCTGGAAGGAATTACAGGTATGAGCCACCGTGCCTGGCCTCACCATTGTTAAAATTATGGAAATCGTGTTTGCAAAGCAGCTTGGCCTGTTTGGAAAAGGGTGTCATAATTTCTCAGGTAACTCCAAAAAGAGAAAGCTACGAAAATTACTTTAATACATTCATTACAGTCCCAGTATAAGATTATAGCTTCCTCTCCCAAAGTGTAACCACAACCTGACGCAGGATGAGTTGGTTTGAAAATACCGCATACAATATCCTCTTGAGTAGAATCATAATTTAGAACTCTAAAATTGACCAGAAACAAAACTGTCCAAGTTTGTTTAACGTAATGTGTTTCAACTTATTTGACTAGAAAACCCTTCATTCGTGCAACACTTATAAATATCCCATGGCAAATCTAGTTTTCTATGAATAATGAACAAAACATTTATAATTTAAAACTAAAATTGTCTTCTAAGCAGAGATCTACGTATCAATAAAATGAAGAAATAAAATTTCCATACTGTTTTCTTCCCAATACAAGGATTAGAAGGAAAGGGAAAAGAGTAACAGCGAGAATCAATAGCCCATGTCTGGCCAGGCTCCATGGCTCAATCACACCTGTAATCCCAGCAATTTCAGAAGCTGAGGCGGGAGGATCACTGGCCTTTAGTGATCCTTGAATGAAACTCCATCTCTAAAAAATTAAAAATATTAGCTTAGAGAATCATTTGGGCCCAGGAGTTTGAGGCTGTATTGAACTATGACTATGCTACTGCATTGCAGCCTGGGCAACAGGCTGCTTAAACCTGGAGGGGCGGAGCTTGAAGTGAGCCGAGATCGCGCCACTGCACTCCAGCCTGAGCAAAGGAGCCAGACTCCGTGGCAAAAAAAAAAAAAAAAAAGAGATTCTATTCACAATAGCAACAAAACCCTGAGAATATATCTAGCAAAGTATACACAAGGCCTTTCATGAAGAGTATTGCCATAGCCTGAATGTGTCTCCCAAAATTCATGTATTAAAACTTAATTCCCAAGATGATAGTACTAAGAAGTGGGGCCTTTAAGAAGTGATTAAGACATAGGGTGAGCCCTCATGCATGAGATTAGTGCCTTCCTTATAAAAGGGCTTGTGGGTGGTGGTAAATCTGTCCCTTCTGCCTCATGAGAACATAGCATTTGCCTGCTCCAGAGGAAGCAGCATTCAACGTACCATCTTGGAAGCAGAGACCAGGCCCTCACTAGACACTGTGTCTGCTGGAGTCTTGATCTTGTTCTTCCCAACCTCCAGAACTGAGAAAATAAACTTCTGCTCTGTGTAAATTACCCAGTCTCAGGTGTTTTGTTATAGCACTATGAAGGGACTAAGACAAATATAAAAATTACCCAGGGACTTAAAGGAAGAACTGACTAAACTGAAATACATGCCATATATATTATGAATCGTAGGACTCAATGCTATAAACATACTACTTCTCAACAAATTAATCTATAAATTCAAGAAATTCCTACACAAATCCCAATAGAATTTTTTTGTGGAACTCGAGAGGCTGATCCTAAAATTCATACAGTCACTTGAGGGGCCAAGAATAGTGTAACAGGGCTGGCGGGGCTGGTGGCTCACACCTGTAGTCCCAGTACTTGGGAAGTCAAGACTGGAGGATGGTTTGAACCCAGGAGTTCAAGACCAGCCTAGGCAACATAGCAAGATGTTGTCTCAAAATATTAAAAATAAATAAATAAATAAAAAGAAGGTTAAGTATGCACATTTTGTTGTGAATTTCAATTTTATAGTGATTTTTTTTTTTTTTTGAGACAGGGTCTTGCTCTGTCACCCAGGCTGGAGTGCAGTGGTGCCATCTTGGTTCACTGCAACCTCTGCGTGGGCTCAAGCAATCCTCCCGCCTCACTCTCTGGAGTAGCTGGGACCACAGTTATGTGCCACCACACCTGACTAATTTTTATATTTTTTTTTTGTAGAGACGGGGTTTTTCCATGTTGCCCAGGTTGTTCTCAAACTCATCCACCTGCCTTGGCCTCCGTAAGTGAGATCACAGACATGGGCCACTGTGCCCGGTCTAGTGCGCTTTTTTTTTTTTTTTTTTTTTTTAACCAAACAAACGATGAAGTCTCAGGAGTAAAAGTTGATACACAAGTAAATTTTATTGGTAATGTTTTTGTGTGGTCTTTAAGCAGAGGGAAAATTAGTCTGCATTATGGTGTATCCAGACTAAATAACTGATATTAAAATGAAATTATCCTTAGGATTTGCAATCTTAGAGAAAACTTTTTCATTTTTTTTGAGTTACAAATTATCTTCACTTACATTTGAGAACAGTGAGTCACAGAGGGATTAAGTATCTTACTCAAGATCTTGCAAGTGTTTGGTTTGAACCCAATCTTTTCACTCTGCAGAACTCAGAGTCACTCTTATTTGGAAACTTTTTAACTGATGTGGATCCTCTAATATGGGCTTCCTATTATTCATTCCGTATTAGTCAGAAGTTTTGCAAGCAGGCAGAATTCATTTTGCCAATTACGGGATTTTCCCTCAGTTGCAGTCAAGGTTCATAAAACTATAACTATTTATCTTTAATTATAAATTTTGTTTTTGAGACAAAGTCTTGCTCTGTTGCTCAGACTGGGATCCAGTGGCACAGTAACAGCCCATTGCAGCTTTGAACTCCTGGGCTCAAGGGATCCTCCGCCTCAGCCTCCCAAGTATCTGGGACTACAAGTGCATGCCATCATCCCTGGCTAATTTTGTTAAAAAAAAAAAATTGTAGAGATAGGGTCTTGCTTCGTTGCCCAGGCTGGTCTCAAACTCCTGGCCTCAAGCAAGCCTTCAGCCTTGGTCTCCCAAAGGGCTGAGATTACAGGTGTCAGCCATTGCACCTGGCCAAAACTGTAACTATATATACACACACACATAACTACATATATATGTGTGTGTGTGTGTGTGTATGTATGTGTGTGTGTATATATATTTTTATATATAAATAGATATATCTGAAAGGCATCAAAAGAAAAAAGCTGTAACTTTTAGTCTTGATCTTGATAGTGACTTGATTAGGCTATCTGTTTAACATCAAAGATGCAAATTAATGCTTTCTTTGGGTGAGCATATTAAAAATGCAGAAAATATTGGAGTAGTTTTTTATGTTAAATAAATTGTATTCTGTGTATTTAAGGTATACAACATGATTTTATGGGATGCATATAGATGGTTAAAAAAAATTACTACAGTGAAGCAAATTAACGTATCCTTCAACTCAGATAGTTACCCGTTTTCTTTTTGTTTGGTGGCAAGAGGAGCTTAAAATCTCATTTAGCGTGAATCCCAAATACAGCACAATTTTATTACCTATATTTCTCGCGTTGTACATTATATTTCTAGGCTTGTTCATCCTACATATCTGCTACTGTGTAACCTCTGAGCTATGTCCACCCATTTTCTCTCTTGCCCCCCAAGTAATTTCCTAAAGTGTCTCATATAAAAAGGCAGTAGCTTTCAGCTTAAACTTTTTCTCTGTATATATTTAAGTCAATTTCTTTGAGGTATGTTTTTCTCTCCAGAATAGTTAGATGTAGGCATACCACTTTAATGTTGACACTAGTTCACCTAGAACTTATCTTCTGCAAATCTGTCTCTATGTCCATCTCTGTCTCCATCTTTGTCTCTGTCTTTATCTCTGTCTATCTATCTATCCATCCATCCATCCATCCATCTATCTCTCTATCCATCTATCTGTCTATCTAACTAAAGCAAATTCATGCCCTTCTCCTATTTATGGAATCGAGACCATAAACAGAGGTGAGGGAAAGAATTTGGCAGGAATTGCGATGTGTATTACCTGTGGCATAAGGAAACTTTACAGAACTAGGGTCAAAAGTATACTTTCTAGTTCTTTCCCATGGCTTTTCACTTTGATGTAGTCCTTATCAGGCAACTGAGGTTTTATATAAGTCCCCTGATTCTTAGAACATGAAGGTGTAGTATTCAAGTTTGGTCCCTTGAAACCACAATTTTTGTTAAAAAAAATTAAGAAAATTGTATAATTTCCTCAGCAAATACATATTGATCATCTGTTATACAGCCATGAGAAGTGGTTCTGTTGAACACGTTTATTTTATCAGATCCCAATTCTAAACCAGGCATAGAATGGAAACCATGAAGGTAGGATGAAATAACTTCTGAATGTTTGAAAATAGTGTACTTAAAAATAAATATCAGGTGTTTTTGTTTTGTTTTTTGTTTTTTGTTTTTGAGACAGGGTCTCACTCTGTCACCCAGGCTGGAGTGTGGTGGTGCCATCTCACCTCATTGCAGCCTTGACCTCCCAGGCTCGGGTGATCTCCCACCTCAGCCTCCCAAGTAGCTGGGACTACAGGCACATGCCACCATGCCCAGCTAATTTTTTGTATTTTTTGTAGAGACAGGGTTTCACCATGTTGCCCAAGCTGGTCTAGAACTCCTGGGCTTAAGCGATCTTCCCACCTCAGCCTCCCAAAGTGCCAGGATTACAGGCATGAGCCACCATGCCTGGCTGAAAATACCAGGTTTTTAAGTATCAGCACTGCCTCTTCAATCTTTTCTATTACTATGTTGTGCTCAGTGGTATTTTTTATTGAATTAGAGCAGTGCTGTTCAATGGAACCTTCTTTGAGGATGGAAATCTTTTATGTCTCTGCTGTGTGGGTATGGTATTAGCTGGGTATGGGGCACCTGCCTATAGTCCCAGCTACTCAAGAGGCTGAGGTGGGAGGATCACTTGAGCCCAGGAGGCCGAGTCTGCAGGTTCGTACCACTGCAATTCAGCCTGTGTGACAGAATGAGACTCAGTCTCAGAATAAAATGAAATAAGGAAATAAAAATGTAATTGTTGAAATAAGAAACTAGTGGATGGATTAGACACGAGAAGAAAGAATTAATTGTTTAGGCGATTCTCTCCAAAAAGTAAGTCAGCATGTCACACAGAGAGACATGAGGATGGATGATAGGGCAGAAGTTGGTGGGCTTGGAGGGGAGAGGAAGATCAGAATGAGGTCCAAAATGTGTCTTAGTGAAATCCCAGGAGGAGATATTAAAATTATATTAGAAAGTGAAAGAAATAGAAGTTTTATTTATTTATTTATTTATTTATTTTGAGAAGGAGTCTCGCTCTGTAGCCCAGGCTCGAGTGCAGTGGCACGATCTGAGCTCACTGCAAGCTCCACCTCCTGGGTTCACGCCATTCTCCTGCCTCAGCTTCCCAAGTAGCTGGGACTACAGGCACCCACCACCACGCCTGGCTAATTTTTTGTATTTTTAGTAGAGATGTGGTTTCACCTTTTTAGTCAGGATGGTCTCAATCTCCTGACCTCATGATCCGCCAGCCTCAGGCTCCTAAAGTGCTGGAATTATACGCATAAGCCACTGCACCCGGCCCAAAAGCTTTGTGTTTTTACAAATATTACACATGTTTCTTGTTTAAGAAAAAAAGTCTTCACAATAACGTAGGAGAATAAGAGAAACATTTTTCCAAAAAAGAGAAGTCATTGTGATTATTTTATCTTATTGGAATGTTGGATAATATAGTCTGCTTCAGTAATCATCAAGCATGCTATGGATTTTCCATTTTCATAGGATCTGTATCTCGGTTAAGGTAATACTGGTAATTTTTGTACTCTATGAAAAATATAGGCCAAAATCATAGACCTTGCATAGAAGCTGGATCATGAAGACAGCTCTGGAGGAACACACAGGTACACACACACAGACACACATATATATAAAGTATACACATATATATATTTTTAAAAGCTTTTAAAGCAAAAGCCGGCCCTGCCCCTCTCCCAGAGTTGGCGGCCTCTCCCCTCTCTTAGGGTGGGTGGGGACAGTGGTTGCCTGGGCAGCTTTCCTTGTGAGCCAAAGGTCCCTCTGGACACATGATGCCTGGCCACGCCCCCTTTCCCTTTCATCTTTCTCATTAACCAATGGGCTTGGAGCATTAAGGCCACGCCCCTATTCTGCCTTCTACTGCATCCCTGGTTACGCCTCCTCTGGCTCAGTCGCACAGCTACCTGGTAGGTGACTGGAGGTGTTGATCAGTGCTTGGTGGGATTTTGCTGATGTGGCCCCAAGCCCGCCTCCCTCCCCACCCTGCGATGGCAGAAGAAACTCGACAAAGTAAATTGGCAGCAGCCAAGAGAAAGGTAAAAACACACCAGGTCACGGACCCCCAACCCAGCCATAGATCCTCTCCAACGACAAGACTGCTGCCAGAGTCCATACCACTCCCGAGGTTCACCGGACTGGGACCCCCACACCGGTGCCTCTGGGCTACCCCCACCAAAGTTTTGTCAGTCAGCCCCACCCCTTCAGCAAGCAGCCCAGTCTCTGCCCTCACCAATCACCCCAGGGTGACTTTGGGCAGGTGAATCCTGGGGCTCCCCGCTCCTTTACTGGGCCCCCATCTCCTGCCACCCCAAGCTTGACCTCCCAGGGCTTTTTGGGCTCACATCTCCAAGGACCTGGGTCCCACAGCCCCAGACCCCACCCTCACCAGTCATCCCTGGGTGACTTTAGGCTGGTGAATCCTGGGGCTCCCTGCTGCTGACTCTTCCCTTCCCTCCTGCTGCCTCAAGGTGGACCTCCCTAGGCTGTGTGCACTGGTGTCTCCAAGGACCTGGGTCCCAGCTCTGTTTTTCCCTCCCCTATCATGGAGCGGTGACTCGGACATCATGCTGATGTGGTCCCTCCCCCTCACCAGGAAGAGTGGAATGTAGTGATGTCACGGTCCATCCAGTAACTGTCATTACTGCAAGACTGGCCTTTGATCTTATGACCCAGTCCCCTAAGCATTGCCACCCCATTTCTGGTTCCTCTTGTCACAGCACAAATTTCCAGCTGGAAGGGGAATGGAGATTGGGACCTAGGAGCAAGAGGTTTCAGGCTGCCTCACTCCCTTAACATAAACATTGACAGCGGGAAAAGCCTACACTTCCCCTGTGAGCTCAAAACATTGACAGTACCTCTGGATGGCAACTGGAGAATGGGTTTGACTTGGTTTGGTTTTCTCCCAGGCTTCTACTTTCCAGAGAGATTTTAACAAATTTTTTGTGAGTTCTCCACCTCACATTCTAATTCTCCATGGTTCTGGGACCAGACTGCCCTTCAGCCAGTGGTCTGTGAAGTGAGATTTGCTCATCTTCTGTGGAATAGATCTTGGGAAACTGAACTTGACAGCTTGAATCTTCCTCATATTATGTAAACCTGGGGTACTTTGAGTGCCACAGGATACATATGGGACATCTTTCTGAAGCATCAGTTTCCATTGATTCTCTTGAGATCAAGAGAAAAAACATTAATGTACTTAGGGATGACAGTCACATAGGTTTCTAAGAGTATACCAGACTTCTCTCTGAAATGAGGCTTGGGTTGTCCTCTTTCTGATAAATTCCCAGATTTAACAGAAAGGCTGCCTTCTGCCATGAGGACACATTGATATAAGAGTTTGAGAGGTACTGGTGCACTTCTTCACACTAACAGACGTGTGAGGATGTATGACTAAACCACATGGCATACAGTTCCTGCCTACTTAATGTTTACTTTTCTACCTCTGCCTCTGGTTTTGGTCCCTGGCAGCTGCTGATTCTTGGTAAAACCCCAGAGTTTGGAGTCAGAAGACTGAGTTTCAAAGTTCGTCTGTCGCCTTTTTCTTTTCTTCTTTTTTTTTCTAGCCATGATATCAATCTCTTTGAGTCACTAAATGATTGTGACAACACCTTGTACAGTTGTTGGTATCATTAAATCAGATGGTGTATAAGAGTATTTTATAAAAACTGTAAAGGAGGATGTGGCTGCAGGGGCTGATAGTTCTCATGAGTATTACTGCTCTTGTTTCTGACAGTTAAAAGAATATTGGCAGAGAAACAGCCCTGGTGTTCCAGCAGGAGCCAAGAGGAACAGGAAAACAAATGGCAGCATCCATGAGACAGCCACTTCTGGTGGTTGCCACTCACCTGGAGATGTGAGTCTTGGCTGACTAGGTTCCTGGGGACAGGGGACCCAAGGGGCACTAGAGGGTAATTGTTAAGATTGTGGATGGACTGTTGGGTACCTGTGAAGAATTCTGGGTTTGAATCCTGCCTCTTTGTCTGCTAGGGATATGAATTAGGGCAAGTTGCTAGACCTCATCGGGCCTCTCTTTTCACATCTGTATAATAGAGGTGGTATTGTTTCACTTCCATTTGTGAAGTTTAAATGAGATTTGTTATTGTTGTTTTTATGTTAATCCCTAGTACATGGCCTGCTGTAAACACCCAGAACACCCAGGATATGGTCATTGCTGTTCGATTTTCCTCATCCCCAGTCTCAAGGGGAAGCCAGGACAATGAGAACAGTCACTTGGCACAGGAGTCACTGAAAGGGCCACAGGGTGCTGTGGTGGGGAGATAAGAACCATGAGAGAAGTTGGCACAAAGGAGTTATGGGACAAAGGGTCCAAGATAGGCAGAAAAGAAAATTGTGCCAGTTGATGGGGAAGAAAAGAAGTCAGAGGGCTTAGATACTGAGTGGGACAGAACATCTTCATGTGCACTCTCATCTCTTGTAGTCAGCAACAGGTATCCACGGGGAGAGCCCTACATCATCTGCTACCCTGAAGGATCTGGAGGTAAGAGGCTCTGGGCAGAGGTGCAGTGACCCTGCAGGCCAGCCCTCCAACCTCCTCCTCCAGGTGGGACGGGGTGCCCCTCTGCCAGCTGAGACAGTCCACACACACCCCAGCCCTAATGATTGCTCTCTCTACCTCTCCCCCCACTCCTCCTCCACCTCCTCCTCTCTGCATGCGCCTCAGAGCCCGTGCCAAGAACTAGCAGTAGTCCCAGACTCGAGGTCCGTAAAAGTCAGTCAACTGAAGAACACCATCAAATCTTTGGTAAGAGTCCACTGGGGTCCCCTGATTCCACGCTGCCAATCCTGGGCTCTAGTTTCCCCTTGGGGCCCTGAAGAAAGGGGACGGCGGCCCCTGGTGCCAAGGGCGAATAGGGAGCTGGGGCGCCCAGGCCTCACCTGGAGGGACCCCGGAGCATGCAGCATGGCTCTTTTTTTGCTGCCCTGTTTGCTGACTCTCCCCTCTCCAGACGCCCCTGCTCGAGTCCTTGCTACACACGCCCTGGGATTGTTGCCTCTTGGGGAAGTGCTAGCCTGACTGGTTGTCAGGGGCCCCGTATTTCTGCCATGACTCAGTCCCTAATTTGCTCTTTGATTCTGGACAAGCCACCTCTCCTTTTTGGGCTCATGTTTCCAGAGGAAGTAGTGAGTATCAAAGGTCTCTGTTAGCTCTCGAGTCTGAGATTTAAAGGCCTCCTAGAATGGAAACCTCAGGGCCAAAGGCTCCTGTCTGTCCTTTTCCGCCCTAAATCTTCTGTGAAGAACCGTACTTGGCCCGTACGTGCTCAGTAAATGTTTATTGAATGAATGCACTTTTCTAAATCACAAGCTGGCAGAAGGGGGGGCCTTTCTCAAACTCCATCTCTAGAGGTTTATGTTACTGTCCTGTCAAGAGATTCCAGATTCAGACCTTGAGTTCTGTGGCTGTGGACAAAAGCCAACAAAGACCCAAATCCTCTGTCCTTGGGAGCTTGAGGAGAGTTTACCAGTTCGAGTTCCCACTGGGTCTGAGAACTTTGCCTTTAAAATCCATTCCTGGCCCCTGCCTACCACTTCCTGCTCTGGGGAATAGAGTTGAGGGGGCCACCCTCCATCACCTTAATGTGACTCTCCCCACAGAAACAACAGAATAAACAAGTGGAACATCAGCTGGAAGAAGTAACATGATTTCTTTGTTTGCTCGCGACATGACTGCTCGGTTTGGGGGACACTCAGATGTAGAGGCCCCGAGTCTCGTCTCACCCACTCCCAGCCTGGGGAAGAAGGCTCACCCCCCAGAGTCCACCCCATCCCCCACAGGGTCCCTGATAACCCGGTCCCATGGGTGGGCCTGTCCCGGGGCAGGGGCAGTGGTGGCATTCTGGGGACATGTCTCTTGCAGTACCATCTCTGCCTCTGCCTGGTTAGATCTCTGTCTTCCTCTTCCTACAGGAAAAGAAAGCAAACAACGAGAAACAGAAAGCCGAAAGGGAGCTAGAGGTGAGTGGACGGTGTGCAGTTTTCTCCTGTCCTCCGGAGAATGTTTCTTTCCTTCTCTTTCAGCACTTGCTTGGCTTTTCTCCCAAAGGTTCAAATCCAGAGATTGAACATACAGAAAGGGAAACTAAATACGGACCTGTACCACACGAAACGTTCTCTCAGATACTTTGAAGGTGGGAATCTGGGTACCCTGTCATCCTTCAACCTGGCACTTTGACAGGTCTTCAGGGGGAGTCCTTTGGGCCCCATCTCAACTCTCTCATTACAGAAGAGTCCAAGGATCTGGCCGTCCGTCTGCAACATTCATTGCAGCGTAAAGGAGAGTTAGAGCGGGCTCTCTCTGCTGTCACCGCCACACAGAAGAAGAAGGCGGAGAGGGTGAGTCCAACCACCTGCCCCGTCCCCTGGGAGCCTGGCTTCGCAGACAGAGGAGTGAGCCTAAAGGTCCCTTCTGCAGGATGGAGTGTCCTGCCCAGAAGGCAGCATGGCCATTTCTCACTGCTTTTTTGTATGGTTGTTAGCGGCAGCTTGGGACTGAGTCAGCTGCTGTGGGTGAGTTGGGGGGCACTCTGGGGAGAGAGCACAGGACGTAGAGCTTGGAGGCCAAGTGCCTGCCATGCCTTTACCTGGCTGTGGTCTTGGCCAAGTCCTCAGTGGGTATTGGGTACTTGTACTGTGAAGGTACAGAAGAGTACCTTTAGTATGTTACCATTTCTGTAGAGAGAGGAAACGTGTGTGTGTGTGTACATATTATGATAATATACATAAAATATGTTTGCAAGTGTTCATAAAAACTCAGGAGAGAGCAACAGGGTGGCTGGGAGATACTTCCCTTCTGTACCTTCTGAGTTTGGGACTATGTGAATGTATTATCCTTTCAAAAAGTGAACAAAAGATTAATTTTCCCCTTCCTAGCTGTGCCCCCACCCCCAGCAAGAAAAATGGGCTTAGAGAATTGGATAGATCTGGGTGTTTAAATCCCAGCTCTGCCTAAGTGATCTTAGGCAAGCACTTAACCTCAAATACTCCATGTTTTTTCATCTACACAATAGAGGTCATCATAGTAACTGTCTCCCATGGTAGTTGCGAGGATTAAATGGGATTGCTAGCATGGTATCTGGTGAAGCACTCCATAAAAGTTCAAACAGTGGTAATAATAACAGTAATAACAATAGCAATATTATCTGATCTCTCTGGGCCTCTGTTAGCCAGCTATAAATTCGATCTCTTTCCCTGTCCCTTCCAACTTTACTGAGTTCTTTAAAAACCAAACCACGGGCTTGGAAATGCCTTGATCTTTACTGACCGAGTTGTATATTGGGCCTAGCCCTGGCCCTTTTAAGGGGCACTGTGTGGAATGGCCCGGCCTCACCAGATTGAAACTTCTCACTCTTCAGCAGTTCTCCAGCCGCAGTAAAGCACGTATGGAGTGGAAGTTAGAGCAGTCCATGCGGGAGCAGGCACTGCTGAAAGCGCAGCTGACACAGGTGAGGTGTTCAGAGGGAGGGATGTGGAAGGAAGATGACCCCAGGTAACCAGGAGCAGGTGAGGACCAGTGACAGCCCTTCCTAATTTCTGTGCCCATTCTTGCAGTTGAAGGAGTCACTTAAAGAAGTCCAGCTAGAGAGGGATGAATATGCTGAACATCTAAAAGGAGAGAGGGCCCGGTGGCAGCAGAGGATGAGAAAAATGTCGCAGGAGGTGAGATCTGACCCTTCAGCCCCCCCACATTAGATAGGTCACTGGATCTTTCTGGGCACCTGTAAAATGGGAATAGTAGAGCCAGAGGTGGTCCTGGGACTGGGCTTTGTGGAGGTGGGGGCAGAGAGGGAGATGGTAGCATGTCCAGCCTCCAGCCCCTCTCTCCAGGGCCCTTTCCCCCTGTGCTTTGGGCAGGTTTGCTCGTTGAAGAAGGAGAAGAAGCATGATAAATATCGGGTAGAGAAGCTGGAGAGGAGCTTGTCCAAACTCAAACACCAGATGGGTAAGATGGGGCTGGCGTGACCTGGCAGCAGGACTGGCATCAGAGGGCTGTGAGGGTGGCTTGGAGTGCCCCAGCGAGGTGGGTGGATGGAAGGGCTTTGAGGCAGAGGGAAAGAGGTCTGTGCCAGGAGACGGCAAGTCTTGTCATCTCAATGAGCCTCAGTGTCCCCATCAGCAAAGAGGGCCCGTTGTCAGCCACCCGCAGTGCTCTTTCTCTGAAAGTGCTTTGGAAGACTGGCTACCATCTGGGTGCGAGGAATCATTAGCAGTGAGGCTAAGTTTGAGGAGCCGGAGAGGAGCTGTGCGCCAAGAGGAGGGTTTTTTCTTTTCTTTTCTTTTTTTTTTTTTTTTTTGGAATCCAGAGGCTCTTATTGTCTGCTTCCTTTCTCAGCTGAACCTCTGCCCCCGGAGCCCCCAGCAGTGCCCTCTGAGGTGGAGCTGCAGCACCTGAGGAAGGAACTAGAGAGAGTGGCAGGAGAGCTCCAGGCCCAGGTGGAGTACAATCAGCGCATAAGTCTCCTGAATGAGGGGCAAAAGGAGAGGCTTCGGGAGCAGGAGGAGAGGCTTCAGGAGCAGCAGGAGAGGCTTCCAGAGCAGGAGGAGAGGCTTCAGCAGCTGGCCGAGCCACAGAACAGCTTCAAGGAGCTGGTGCGTTGCCCCAGCTGGGGAGCCTGCCCTCCTCCCTAGC
Organism: Homo sapiens; assembly: GCF_000001405.40. NCBI lineage: Eukaryota > Metazoa > Chordata > Mammalia > Primates > Hominidae > Homo > Homo sapiens. The sequence continues at coordinate 73,347 of NW_003315943.1, forward strand.
CCTCCAGGCCTTTGTTTCCCCACCTATAAAATGGGGCAGTGTAGCCCTCAAGTGAAATGTTACTCCTAAAGGCACCTGTGAGCCAGAGCCCTGCTCTGGTGGCTGTGGGAGACAGGGGATGATTTTTCTAACCTGCCTCCACCCTTCCCGGTGCCATGGGAGGCAGTCACCAAGTTCTGGGGTCTCCAGCTGCAGTGGGTGGCTGCTGATTGCTTCTCTCTGTCCAGAACAATGAGAACAAGAGCGTACTACAGTTGGAGCAGCAAGTAAAGGAGCTGCAGGAGAAGCTAGGCAAGGTGAAGGAGACGGTAACCTCCACCCCATCCAAGAAGGTCTGGGAGGTGGGTGGGCACCAGCCTCTGGGGAGGGGAGGTGCCAGGCCAGCGGTAGCTCCAGCCCGGGGGCAGGTGACCCCAGCACCCTCCAGGGCAGTCCTGTGGCTGTTTCTTGCTTCCTGCCCTCTGATTTTAGAGGTGGGTAGCCCTGGGCTCCTCCCAGGTCTGGACATCATCATTCCAGCTAGAGACATGGAGCCCCCCCAATCACAGGGGAAGAGACAGAGTGGTATAACAGTCTTCTTATGCCAGATGCGGTGGCTTACGCCTATAGTGCCAACACTTTGGGAGGCTGAGGCAGGAGAATCACTTGAGGTTTGGAGTTTGAGATCAGCCTGGCCAACATGGTAAAACCTCATCTCTACTAAAATTACAAAAACAAAAAACAAAAAAAGAAAGAAAAATTAGTGGGGCATGGTGGTGGCGCATGCCTGTAATCCCACCTACTCAGGAGGCTGAGGCACGAGAATTGCTTGAGCCCAGGAGGTGGAGGTTGCAGTGAGCTGAGATTGCACCACTGCACTCCTGCCTGGGCCACAGAGTGACACTCTGTCTCAAAACAAAACAAAAAGACTCCTTAGATTAAAACTGGATTCCAGCCTCAGTTCCACTGGTCACCATTCAAGTACTTCGCATCTCTAGGTCTCTGTTTCTTTAACTTCAAAAGGAAGTTAGCATTTTCCTTACAGAGGTGCTGAGGATTAAATGAGATAATACATGGGAAGCATTAGGCCTGTAGCACATTTAGCAGATGGTGGTTGGCTCCCATACTTTTCTACCATTCTGTGGCCTACAGTTGAAATGGTGGGAAGAGGACATGAGATTTGAGGCTGGGGAAGGAGGCATGGGGTTCTAGGAAAGCAAGGCAGTCACTTAGGCCTGAAGTAAGGGGCCAGGGGCCTGGGCAGGCGACAGAGCCCCACAGTGCCCTCGCTACCCTATTAATGGGCCCAGAATCTGCAAACCAGCCACCACGTGCCCTCACACCCAGGGTCTTCCTGCAGGTGGAGCTGAAGAGCCAAGAGGCTCAGAGTCTGCAGCAGCAGCCAGACCATTACCTGGGTCACCTGCAGCAGTACGTGGCCACCTATCAGCAGCAGGTGGCCGCCTATCAGCAGCTGACCTGTGAGAAGGAGGCGCTGTACAGGCAGTGACTGCAGCAGACCCAGCTAATGAACCAGTTGCAGCAGCAGGAAGCTTGGGGCAAAGCGGTGGCCGAGATGGCCTGCCAAAAGTTGCAGGAGACCCAGGGGAGGGAGCTGCCGAGGATGGGGCTGTGAGGGGGACGACCTGGCAAACTCTGTGCCTTCTCACTCTTTCCTGGCCCCTTAGGAGCGTCTGGAAGCTGCCAGCCAGCAGAACCAGCAGCTAACGGCCCAGTTGAGCCTCATGGCTCTCCCTGGGGAAGGTACGGGAGACCGCTCAGAGGAAGAGGAGAGAGCCCCAGGAGGAAGGGGGGACTGCTAGCAGCATAGTATTCAGGAGTTGGAAGAGACCTTTAGAACAGCTGGTCATTATACTAACCGGGTGCCTGCACTAAGTTCAGCATCAATATGGTGACCTCCTGTGAGCGGGGGGCCACCAAGTTGCCTAAGGATGGCTGAACTGGCCGAGGTCAGAAAGGGAGCAGGTCAGAACTCCCGCACCGACCAGTAGTGGGAATGTGCCTGGGCAGTATAGCAAGATCTTGGTTCTTCAAAGTAAAAATAAATAACAGCAGCTCATTCCTCTCTGGGGAGGGCCTGGCTCAGGGTTACACAATGAGGGTGGAGGCAGAGGTGGGCCCACAATACTTCCCTTGTTGAGTTGTCTGAGGACCCCTCTGGCCACCACCCCCACCCCCAGGAGATGGAGGAGGACATCTGGACAGTGAGGGGGAGGAGGCACCTCGGCCCATTCCTAGCATCCCACAGGACCTGGAGAGCAGGGAGGCCATGGTGAGCCTGACTCCACCTGAACCCATTTTGCCTCCTTCCTCTGTGGTCCCTCCAAGACCCCTTTATGCTCTTCGTTTCCCTGCCTTCTGATTTCTCTGGACCCTCACCCCTTCTGGGAGCCAGTGGTCAGACACCATTTCACCTGTGACCAACATGTGCAGTCTCTGGGGCCCCAAGGGAAGGGGCTGCGCTCCACCTCTCTGCCCCATTTGTTCTGTGTATGCCCCTGCAAGAATGCTCACATCTTGCCCTCAGGTGGCATTTTTCAAGTCCGCTGGAGCTAGTGCCCAGGAGAAGCAGGCACAGTTACAAGAGCAGGTGAAAGAGCAGAGGGTGTGCTGCCAGCGCCTGGCTCACCCGGTGGCCTCGGCCCAGAAGGAGCCAGAGGCAGCCAGAGGCCCTGGAGCCCCAGGGCCTGGGGGCGAGTCTGTGAGTGGGGAGACCCACCGGGCCCTGCAGGAAGTCACGGAGAAGCTGGCCCATGCCGGAACTCACCTCCGCCTTCTCCATGACTTGAAAATGCCACCTGAGGGCAGGTCGCTGGCGAGATGTGACCCCATTATTTTGGCTCCAGAGCGGCTTTATGGACCACCTGGAGGAGAAGGCAGACCTGAGTGAGCTGGTGGAGAAAGAAGAACTTGGATTCTTCCAGTACTACAGAGAGAGATGCCATCAGTGAGTGGGAGGCCAGGGCATGGCAGGGGGAGCTGCAGGGCTGTTGGAGGGGCCCCAGCGTCTGAGCCCTGTCCTCCCGCAGGAAAGTTTATCACCCTATAACAAAGCCAGGGGGCAGTGCCAAAGATGCAGCACCGGGAGGAGGACACCATCAGGCTGGCCCTGGACAGGGAGGAGATGAAGGTAGAGTGTGCAACATCTCTGCGGGGGTGGGGGTGGCTGTGACGGTGAGCGCTGGCAGCAGCGTGACAGCTGAGCACCCCTCCCTCCAGGTGAAGCTGCTGGAGCTGCAGGAGATGGTGTTGCAGCTGGTGGCGACTACAAGGGACACAGCAAATTCTTGGTGACTGCCCAGAACCCTGCTCATGAGCCCAGTCCAGGAGCCCCAGCCCCCCAGGAGCTTGGGGCTGCCCACAAGCATGGTGGTGAGTAGAGCCCTCAGGCGGGGTGGGCAGGCAGGAGCAGGGGGGCTCTCACTGAGCTCAGATCCCCGCCTCCCTCTCTCCAAAGATCTTTGTGAGGTGAGCCTCACTGACAGCGTGGAGCCTGTGCAAGGAGAGGCCAGGGAGGGTTCTCCCCACGACAACCCTACTGCACAGCCGATCGTGCAGGACCACCAGGAGCACCCAGGCTTGGGCAGCAACTGCTGTGTGCCATTCTTTTGCTGGGCTTGGCTGCCAAGAAGAAGGAGATAAACATCACCATCGTCAAAGAGCTGCTGAAGAAATTTTTAAAAAAGAAACAAAGTTATGGGGTTAATCTCCTACACAATTCATTTACTTCGTTTGAATGTTATAGCCACTTATGATTATTTGTGTTTCTAATTTATAGTTTAAGTTTATTTGTAAATAGTTAAAAGAGAGTGGGTCTCTGTGGCTTTCACTGATGTTCACTCTGGCATACTTTCGCAATTTTCTTTTTCAATTTCATAATTGTAGGTCATTAGCATGCATATTGAGTTTGCCCTTACGTGGTGGGAGTTCAAACACACAAAGACCCACTATTTGCACAAAACTATTCTTGCTGGTTTGGAATAGGCTGCCATGTGTTTTTAATGTTATTGCAGCATGTATATTCATTACAGAATTCAGATAAAATGTGCCTATGTTCTGCTGTTGTTTGATCTAATCTTAATCACAGTGAGCTCTTCATTAGCACAATATGTGGTTTGCCCCAAGTGTGCACTATTTAATACTTTGTAATATGCCACCAAGAGTACTGACATTTAGAGTTGTTTAAAGGCCGAGAACTGGAAACAGCCTTTCCCTCATTTTCTGTGTATTGGTGATGGGAGTAATAACATTTTGGGGGAGCTTTTTAAATTTCACAGAAGAGGAAAGTTGCCTGCTCTGGCAGGTATGTGCAAGATAGAGTGTGTTTCATTTGTTCTGTTGCCAAGAATTAGTGCTGTACTATTGTAGTTCCTTTAGGATTTGTATGTGCTCTGGGCTCATGAAGATATTGCATCATGAGCTTCAGCAGTTGTACTCTTTTTTGATGACCTAAAAAGGGCTTATTTCTGAGGAATGAAAGGTTCCCATCATTGACTACGGATGTGGAAAACCTTTCCTAGCTTAGAGCATTTGTATCTATATTTTAAAGTCAGAGTTCATGTTACCTGTTTTAATCACATGACTGCATGTCCCAGTACACAAAAGGGCACTGGTTGGCATTCTTCTTAATGTATTTAGTAAAGATCAGAAGAAATCCTTTAAGAGTTCAAATGTCCCTGGAACAGGCATACAGGCTCTAGTCAAGAATGAATTAGAGTGAAGGAAAGCTGTGTGACACCTGGCATTCCTCTGTTCATGGAGCTTCTTTGAGGCTTGAAGATTGATTTTACCATCTAGACCACTCTGCCTATTCTTCAACCACCTTGGTTACTTTGACATAGGAATTGACTTCTTTTCCTTGAATGGAAAACACTTTGAAATAATAATAAACATTGTTATAAACTAATATATGTGAGAGTGCTTAGTTGAAACAAAAAGGAGTTTTAGTAGACAGTATTATACTATCTTTGAAAATCAAGGAGAAGTTTATGCAACTTAAAATGTGTACAAACTGCAGTGCAATCTACTGTTGGTGAATGTCAGTGTATTATCAGGAAACATGTCTATACAATCACAGAGTTATATTTCCTCACAAACTTCTTTGTGAAGAGTGAAATGTGTTTCTGTACCTCTGGGTTTCACTTACGGGCATATTTTGTGCAGTATTTATGTGATTGTGCCTATGCATGATGAATGAATGAATTTCAGTTGTACATTGCCTAAATCATAACTTGATGATGCTTGGGAAAGACTCAACAGTTAAAACTTCATGAAGTTCTAATGTCTGTGTTCCAAAACACATCACATTATTAGGATGTAGGGAGATATGTATGTGTGCTCCCTGGGGTGGGGATTTCTAGTTACTAGACCATCTCCATTTTTAGCATTTGGCATCCTCATGATACTTTTATAAATACGACATTAACAGGAGAGCAGCAGTACGATTTTGCCGATGGAATAACAGATTTGCCGGCAATCACTGAAAGAGTGCAAACATCGGGTCCTTGTGACTTCAACGGACTCTTCCAAATTGTATGAATGTATCAATGTATTAGATAAACCCAGTTTCAGAATGATAAAGAAAAAATGTTAGACCAAATAATGCGGCTAGTTAACAGTGGTACGATTTCTCGCCCGTGGCTTTAAAATGCACTTAAAGTCCTGTCCTTGCCTTTTATTTTCTGAACTTGATGTTTTTGCATTCTTTGAGTTCAGTTTAAAGACAACTACGAGCATCTGTAACCAATCTGACAATAATGTGTTCATCAGGTGCCTGTGGATTAAATCACATACTGGCATATTTAAGCTGAATGTCAATCTGGAAAATAAATTGACTGTATTAACGGAAATACCACTCTTTGTGTAGATATTTGTCGTATATTGAAGAAAAAGCTAAAAAGAATGGAAATCGCATGACTATAACTTAAGTCTTTCTTCAAAGTGCATGCAGTCTTTTGCGATACCTCATTCAGCCAAGTATTGGTATTCTTCCTCATTCGGTATAAGGCAGCTTTCAATTTGCTTAGAGGGCAACATTGGAAGGTTAGAGTTCATCAGAAACAGAATTCTAAAATGTGAGTTCAATTCAATAAATTTGAATTTCTGTAGGAAGAATCAAATCACCGATTTAAAGATTGCAATATATAATAATCATTTTTAAAGTATTGGATTAAATCTGATAGGTTTTCCAGAAATGAACAAAAATCAGCTCTAAAACCAAAGCTGATTTTTAGAAAATTTGAAAATGTAAATCAGCCCTATCCATACTATAGTTTCTCTAAAACTTTATCTGAAAGAGTCATTTTAAAATAACTATTAAACAATGTAACTGCTATCTTAATGTTCTGAAATAAGTTAAAACATTTTAAAATATGAATACTGTAAAGGAAATAAACGGTGGGAAGGAAAAGTAGAGAAAGAAATGCCAATTCCAGTCCAAAGCTTTATTTGCCAAGTTTTCTTAGAATGAATTTTACCAATTTATGAATTCTTGTAAGCGGAATGTAAAACGGAAATACTGAAAGACTTTTGCCTAAAGTGGCATTATTGACTGCTGGTGTGATGCTACTGTAATGTAATAAATTATTAAGTTGTTGCAAAGTGCTGTTTTTGCCTTAAAATTTTATTCTGTGTGTCTTCAAAAATATAGTATTAAAGGTATTGATACTGTGCAAATGCTGGGCATGCTTGGCATGAGATAATGTTTCATTTTTACAAAATTGTAATATAACTATGCAAGGGTTTATTAAAAGAACACAAAATAAAAAAGTTATGGGATTAACAAAAGTTATGGGGTGAAAAAGTTATGGGATAAAAAATGTAAAAAAGTTGTGGCAAAAAAATCTTGTGACCAAAAAGTAGAAGAAAGTTTTATGAAAAGTTACCAAAAAAAGTTATGAAAAAGAAGTTATGGGATTTAAAAAAAAAGGCATGGGATAAAAATAAAAATTAAAATTAAAAGCAGGCCCCTGTCAGCAAAGCCTGGAGAAGTGGGGCCGGGGTCTCCACCACCACACTGTCCCTATCTCCCCTTCCCAGTCACCCCTTTACAATTAGGGTAGCAGGACAAGACCTCTGTCTAACGAGGAAAGACAAACAGACCCTTTGCCACCTTGACCAGAGCTGAGTCCTTAAATTTCTGGATGATATTGTTATTTAAGAGCCAGAGGCTGGTGGAGTTGGTTTGTTTGGAGGAGGCCTCATGGCCTCCTTACTCTCACCATAGCAACTTTTCCCTCAGTGGGGGCTCCAATCTTCTTATTCAGAGAGGTAGCTGAGGCAGGACAGTGGGGCTAACTGTGGACCAGGCGAAGGCACGGGCTGCTGGGGTGGCCCCCCTTCCCCGGTGTATATATTGTGTCTGTGTAAGGTTTTGTATATTCCAGAGGGTAGGGCCACCCCTGTATCATACCTAGCGGTGGTTGGAGGTGGCACATGGGGAGGAGGTTCTAATAATTATTTGTGGCTGGGAAACTTACTTATTGCTAGCATAGGACAGAGGAAGAAGGCAGGGATGGGGTCATGGCTTCCCAGTGGTGTGATCACAGTTCACTGCAACCTCCAACTCTCATGCTCAAGTGATCCTCCCACCTCAGCCTCCCAGGTAGCTGGGAGTATAAGCATGCACTACTATGCCTGGCTAATTTTTAAATTTTTTGTAGAGAAAAGGTCTTGCTATGTTGCCCATGCTGGTCTTGAACTCCTGGGCTCAAGCGATTCTCCCATCTTGGCCTCCCAAAGCACTGGGGTTACAGGCATGAGACATTGCTCCTGTCCATAAGATTTTCTCTTTATTACTGTTTTGTTGTTGGTGGTGGTGTTTTGTTTTGTTTTTATTTTTTGACAGAGTCTCGGTCTGTTGCCTAAGCTGGAGTGCAGTGGTGCAATCTCTGCTCACTGCAACCTCCGCCTCCTGGTTCAAGCAATTCTTATGCCTCAGCCTCCCGAGTACCTGGGGTTATAGGCATAAGCCACTGCGCCTGGCTAATTTTTGGATTTTTAGTAGAGACAGAGTTTTGCCATGTTGGCCAGATTGGTCTTCAACTCCTGGCCTTAAGCAATCCGCCCTCCTCAGCCTCCCAAAGTGCTGGGATTACAGGTGTGAGCCACTGCTCCTGGCTAAGATCCCATCTCTATTTAAATAAAAAAAGAAAATTCAGAATCTATGGAACACAGAACACCAAAGGCCAGTTATTTACCTCTCTGAGGTAATCTGTGTAAACAATTTGATATATATCCTTTCAAGTTCATACTTGCTATGCATACATATATATATACACACATACATTGACATATTCCCCCTTCCCTGCTGTCATGCTATTAGTCTTCTTTTTTTTGTAGAAATTGGACCAACTCTATGTTCTTTGCTGGCCCGTATTTCTCCTATTCAGTGATGTGTTATGAATATCTGTTTAAGTCAATGTATGCAACTCTTTAATATCATTTTAAAAGGTTACGACATACGATCATATGAAGGCATTAGAATTTATTCCAACAGTTCCCTTTTGCACATTTAATAATTTCCATTGATTTGCCAGGAAGAACATTCTCGTGTCATGGCTAAATCCTTTTGTATGGACATCCTTAATTATTCCCTTAAGATAAACTTTTAAATAAAGTTGCTAGATTAGTCTCGTTTCTTAAGTTCTTTTTTGGTAGTTTATATGTAACACTGTAGTTTTATATGTACTTACAAATACCTATAGTGCCAGTAGAAAATGGGATAAAATTAAACTCTTTCACATATGCCAAATATATTTTGATTTAGCGCTTTATTAAGTGCATGATTACAGTCTCTGTATCTTTTGATTTACCTTTCTATCTTTACAATTTTCAGCCGAGATACTTAGAGGTCACATGATAAATTAAGGTTTTCTTTTTTTAATAATCTCCATCTTTCTAAATATGGTGAGTCACAGTCAGCTATTTTTGGATTGTTGAAAGCTGTGACTGTTCTAAATCGGAGCCCAGAAATCACGCCACTTACCAAATATGCTTTGTCTTCCAACATCAGAGTGTCTGGTAGAAGGTGACTGTTCTTGGAATTTAAAAAATCTGAACAGGACAAGACAAGAATCTGGACACTTTTTCTGTTTCTGATAATATGATTGAGTAGGTAGACACGCTGGATAATCCTTGCAAAGACATACTTGAACTTCCCAAAAAAAAAAAAATAAAATCCAGAATCTCTAAGAATGAAGATGGAGTGAAAATCAGAAGGGCTGCTGAGAGAATAATGGGGAAGCAGCCCCAGTTATCAAGGGACATGTCCATGTGTTCAATAGAAAGTTTCAGATGTAAAAAAAAGTTGAGAAAAATAATATATATATTATATATAATAAATGATATAATTGCCCTACATATACACATCATCAACAATTTTTCATTCATGGTATGGACAGTTTTTTTTTTTGGTTGCTTTTTGTTTGTTTGTTTGTTTTTAAAGGTGGGATTTTGCTGTGGTTGCCCAGGCTGGAGTGCAGTGGCATGATCTTGGCTCACTGCAACTTCCACCTCCCAGGTTCAAGCGATTCTCCTGCCTCAGCTTCCCGAGTAGCTGGGATTACAGGCACCCGGCACCACATCCGGCTAATTGTTGTATTTTTAGTAGAGATGGCGTTTCACCACGTTGGCCAGGCTGGTCTTGAACTCCTGACCTCAGGTGATCCACCTGCCTCGGTCTCCCAAAGTGCTGAGACTACAGGCGTGAGCCACCACACCTGGCCACAGCCAGTTTTGTTTCATTTATATTCCCACTTCATTTATATACATTCCTTCTTCCTCTGAATTATTTTGAAGTAAAACCTATACATCCTATCATTTTTAATTACCTTATATGTATCTGTAGAAGACAAGGAATTCTTAAAAATAAATATATTCACAATGCCATTAAATATCAAAAAATTAATATTCTGAAAATAGCCACAAATCCAGAGTTGACATTTTGTTGACTTTCTCATAGGTGATTTTTTTTCTAGTTTATCTATTTCAATCAGATAACTGTTTGCTCATATTTACATTCCTTACTGAACAATGTCTAAACTTAAACTGACATAAAATGGAGATGATCTTCTAACCAGATGCTTAGTGTAAGAAAAAACTTCAAACTGCAAGAGGAGTCCCTCCAAATACAGAAAGGACCAGTATTTTAAGAGGTATGTTAACTAAAATGTGGCAATGTAAGGAGCAAAGCAGGAAGAACCTTTAAGTCCTAAACTTACAAGTCAATTTCATAGTCAGTTTCCCTGGTCCTTCCACAACAACCTCCCCCATCTGTTTTCTCTACAATGGAGGTAACAATAGTAGCTATTCCAGAGCAGGAAAAGGCTTAGAGCAGTGCTAGAAGAGGGTCGTGGCTATATAAAGTTTAGCTATTTGTATATTGTAACAAACTAACTTTTTTTGGTCAATAATAGATTTCTGTTGGAAAAGTAGCAGCCTCCTGTCTGGGGACACCTGCAGTTCCACTAAGTGAACATTGGTGTCTGCTAACCTTTGCCTCTATTTCTCTCAATATACTGTGAAGCTGTTCCTGGATTTAGCAATTTTATATACTTCTTTTTATTATTCTTTTTTTCCTTTCCCTTTTCCTGAGACACAGTCCTGCTCTGTCACCCAGTCTGGACTGCAGCAGCGCCATCATGGCTCACTGCCACCTCCACCCCGGGCTCAAGCAATCCTCCTGCATCAGCCTTCAGAGTAGCTGGGACTACCCAGGGGGGCCCACCAGGTCTGGCTAATCTTTGTGGTTTTTGTTTTGTTTTTCCGTTAAGGGACTGGGTTTCCGGCCAGGCACAGTGACTCACGCCTGCAATCGCACCACCCCTGGAGGCCGAGGCCGGCGGATCTCCCCAGGTAAGGAGCAGGAGACCAGCCCGACCAACATGGAGAAACCCCATCTCAACCTAAATAAATAAATAAATAAATAAATAAATAAATAAATAAATAAAAGTAGCCAGGCTTGGTGGCTCACGCCCTTGATCCCAGCCACTCAGGAGGCTGAAGCAGGAGAATCACCCAAACCCGGGAGGCGGAGGCCCGGCGAGCCGAGACCGCGCCACTGCACTCCAGCCTGGGCAACAAGAGGGAAACTCCGTCTCAAAAAAAAAAAACAGGTTTCACCATGTTGCCCAAGCGGGTCTGGATCTCCTAGGCTCAAGCGATTTGCCACACTCAGCCGTCCAAAATCCTAGGATCACAAGCGTGAGCCATGACGCCAGGCCGATCTATTCCTGTCTGATTAAAAATTGGGCCGGTTGCGGTGGTTCACGCCTGCGATCCCAGCACCCCGGGAGGCTGAGGCGGGCGGATAACCTGAGGTCAGATTGAGGCCAGCCTGAGTAACATGGAGAAACCCCATCTCTACCAAAAAAAAAAAAAAAAAATTAGCAGGGCATGGTGGCTCACGCTTGCAATCCCAGCCACTCGGGAGGCTGAGCCAGGAGAACCACCCAAACCCGGGAGGCTGAGGCTGCGGGGAGCTGAGACCCTGCCACTGCACTCCAGCCTGGGCAACAAGAGTGAAACTCCCTCTCAAAAAAAAAAAAAGAGAGAGAGAGAGAGACTGAGTTTCACCATGTTGCCCAGGCCGGCGTGTAACTCCTAGGCTCAAGGGATCCGCCGCGCTCGGCCATCGGAAGTCCTGGGATCACAAGCATGAGCCGCCACGCCAGGCCCATCTGTTCCTTTCTGATTAATAAATTGCGCCCGGCGCGGTGGCTCCCTCCTGCAACCCCACCACCCTGGGAGGCCGAGGCGGGCGGATCACCTGAGGTCGGGAGTTTGAGACCAGCCTGACCAACATGGAGAAACCCGTCTCTACCAAAAAAGAAAAAAAAATAAGCTGGGCATGGTGGCTCACGCCTGCAATCCCACCACCCCGGGAGGCCGAAGCAGACGGGTAATCTGAGGTCAGGAGTTTGAGACTACCCTGACGAAGGGAGAAACCCCGTCTATACCAAAAAAAAAAAAAAAATACAAAAAGAGCCAGGCATGTTGGCTCATGCCTGCAATCTCAGCCACTTGGTAAGCTGAGGCAGGAGAACCACCCAAATCCGGGAAGCGGAGGCAGCGGGGAGCTGAGACCGCGCCACTGCACTCCAACCGGGCAACAAGAGTGAAACTGCCGCAAAAAAAAAAAAAAAAAAAAAAAAAAAAAAAGAGAGAGCGGGTTTCACCGTGTTGCCCCGGCCTGTCTGGAATTCCTAGGCTCAAGGGATCCCCGGCCCTATTCCTTTCTGATTTATAGATTAGGCCTTGCGCGCTGGCTCACGCTTGCAATCCCAGCACCTCCGGACGCCGAGGCGGGCGGATAACCTGAGGTGGGAAGTTTGAGACCAGCCTTATGAACATGGAGAAACCCCATCTCCAACAATAAAAACAAAAACAAACAAAAAACAAAATGAGCTGGGCATGGTGGCTCACGCGTGCAATCCCAGCCACTCGGGAGGCTGTGGCAGGAGAACCACCCAAACCCTGGAGGCGGAGGCCCGTTGAGCCAAGACCTCACCACTGCACTCCAGCCTGGGCAACAAGAGCGAATCTCCGCCTCAAAACAAACAAAAAGTGACCAGGTTTCACCATGTTACCCAGGCAGGTCTGGAACTCCTAGGCTCAAGCGATCCGCCGCGCTTGCCGTCCAAATTCCTGGGATCACAAGCGTGAGCCACCATGCCAGGCCGATCTAGTCCTTTATGATTAATAAACTGGACCGGGCGCGCTGGCTCACGCCTGCAATCCCAGCATCCCCAGAGGCCGAGGAGGCGGGCAGATAACCTGAGGTCGGGAGTTTGAGACCAGCCTGATGAATATGGAGAAACCCTGCCTGTACCCCCCCCGCCAAAAAAAAGAGAGACCGGGTTTCACCATGTTGCCCAAGCCGGTGTGGAACTCCTAGGCTCAAGTGATCCCCAGCGCTCGGCCGTCCGACGTCCTGGGATCACAAGCGTGAACCACCACGCCAGGCTGATCTATTCTTTTCTGATTAATCAATTGGGCCTTGCGCGCTGGCTCACGCCTGCAATCCCAGCATCCCCGGAAGCCAAGGCAGGCGGATAACCTGAGGTCCTGAGTTTGAGACCAGCCTGACCAACAGGGAGAAACCCTGTGTGTACCAAAAAAAAAAAAAAAGAAAATTAGCCGGGCATGGTGGCTCACACCTGCAATCTCAGCCACTAGGGAGGCTGAGGCAGGAGAACCACCCAAACCCAAGAGGTGGAGGTGGCAGGGAGCCGAGACTGCACCACTGCACTCCAGCCTGGGCAACAAGAGCAAAACTCTGCCTCCAAAAAAACAAAAAAAAGAGAGAGACCGAGTTCCACCATGTTGCCCAGGCCAGTCTGGATCTCCTAGGCTCAAGTGATCCCCAGTGCTCCATCATCCAAAGTCCCTGGATCACAAGCGTGAGCCACCACGCCAGGCCGATCTATTCCTCTCTGATTAATAAATTAGGCGGGGTGCAGTGGCTCACACCTGCAGTCCTGTAGAGGGATTTTTAAGGAATTAGATAGACTCATGGGGTTTAGGAGGACATTTATTAATTATTTAGGTGCACCGGCCCAGTCGGATTAACATTTAAAGGATTGAGCACTGAACCAAGAGTTACCTTTCAAGCATTATGTGGGGCGAAGGGGGAGATCTGTGCAGGGAGAAGCATATTATAGAAGCGAGAAACAAAGATTGTTATTTAATTGAAACATGCATTATATTATTTTTTACTATTTAAGGAAAAATATGTTTTGTGACTTGAGTTTATTTGTTTAGTGACCTTGTAGTTGCACAGTTAAGGAATTAGTCGGGCATGGTGGCTCACACCGCAATCCCAGCCACTCGGGAGGCTTTGGCAGGAGAACCACCCAAACCCCGGAGACGGAGGTCTGGCAAGCTGAGACCTCGCCACTGCACTCCAGCCTGGACAGCAAGAGCAAATTTCCCCCTAAAAAAAAATATATATATATGACTGGGTTTCACCATGTTGTCCAGGCCGGTCTGGAACTCCTAGGCTCAAGCAATCTGGCTCTGGATGTCTTTAACTTGTGATTGAAAGCGTATTAAGATGTTGGGTGTATCAACAGTCCGGAGGACAAGAAGGAAAATCCTGGCATGTGAAATATTCTGCAACAAGAAAAGCAATCGGAGAGGTGACTACATTCACTGCAGCTGTTTTGCCCTCTTCTTCCCCACCCGCCCCCCCCGTCTCTTTCCTGGAAGTTCCCTAGTAAGAAGTAAAAGAGATAATGGCTTTCGAGTGCATGTTTTTCCTGGAATTGGAAGGAATTTTAACAAAGGAGCCCTTCACAATGAAACCCCCCCACACCCCTGCTTTTCACCTGAAGTAGGACAAGATCGTCGCCCCCACCATCATTCTCCACGTGACCCCAGGTGGGGATGGGTAGTGGACACTACTGATAAGCTCTTAGCAATTTCCCTATTTGTGGACTCTGAAGCTCCTTAGCTTGACAACTGATGCATAAGTTTTCTTTTGTGGGATAAGAATAGGAGAATAGGTGACCTTTTCCCCCTGAATTCCCATCCTGGGGCCAGGGAAGAGAGCCCAGGATCCCTTCTCTTGGCCTTCACACTGTGGGAAAGAGTACCTAGAGTTAAAAGCCTGATAAATGCCCTCGAACAGCTTTGAAAATCACAAGGTCAGGAGATCGAGGCCATCCTGCCTAACACGGTCAAACCCGTCTCTACTAAAAAAAAAAAAAAAAAATACAAAAAATTAGCCGGGCATGGTGGTGGGCGCCTGTAGTCCCAGCTACCGGGGAGGCTGAGGCAGGAGAATGGTGTGAACCCGGGAGGGGGACCTTGCAGTGAGCTGAGATCGAACCACTGCACTCCAGCCTGGGCGACAGAGCGAGACTCAGTCTTAAAAACAAACAAACAAAAAAAAAAAAAAAGAAAAGAAAAGAAAAAAGAAAATCACTCGGCGTGAGCGCTTGCCCCCTGAACAAATGTCCAAGTGTATCACTATGGGAATGCCTCTTGGGTCACAGACACAGAGGTAATTCTCTTTGTAAATAGATTCATGTCATTTGTCTCGTTTCTGAACAGTTTCAAAAGAATTATTTGGTGAAGTCAGTTTCCTAGGAGAATCCATCACATTTCCCCAGAGGTATTTCCACCCTTGCAAACCATTAGATAAAGAACAGGTCACGCACAGTGGCTCACACCTGTAATCCCAGCACTTTGAGAGGCCAGGCGGGTGGATCATGAGGTTAGCGGATCGAGACCATCCTGGCTAACAGTGTGAAACCCCGTCTCTACTAAAAATACAAACAATTAGCCAGGTGTGGTGGCAGGTGCCTGTAGTCCTAGTTACTCAGGAGGCTGAGGCAGGAGAATGGCATGAACCTCGGAGACGGAGCTTGCAGTGAGCCAAGATTGCGCTACTGCACTCCAGCCTGGGCGACAGAGTGAGACTTTGTCTAAAAAAATAAAAAAACAAAAACACGTAAAGAACAAATTAGTCCTCGTGGTAGGCCACCCCCACCCCATCTCCAGTTCACCACTTCAATCATACGACTTTCTCAGTGGACTTGAAGCCAAGCTTTCACATCAGAGCCCTCCAACCAAGAGCCTGACTGTATAACTCCTAAGAACAATCAAGTAAGAATGTTTTTCTTTCCATTCCTCACATCTGGTATCTGTTGCCTTGTGAATAGGGTGCCCATCAGCAGGAAGGGTTAGAACTAGGGTAAGTGTGTAGGGAGCAAGGCTTGAAAAGAAACAGATGAGGAAAGAGTAGCAAAATCAAGACTGTCCCAGGAAGTGAGTGTCAGTCAAAGGTTTTGAAATCCCTCAAATAGTTACTTCTGCTGTCTTGGTTTTGTCCACCTCCCTTCTTTTTTCACATACCTGCCACCCTAAAAAGTAATACCTATGCCTAACATAGAGCTAACCAGTTAAAGAACTGCTAGTAACTTTAGAAAAGAGTCCCTTTCCCATCAGAATCAGAACAAAATCTTTTTAAAAAAATTATTTTTGGCCAGGCATGGTTGTTCACACCTGTAATCCCGGCACTTTGGGGGGCTGAGGTGGGCGGATCACTTGAGGTCAGGAGTTCAAGACCAGCCTAACCAACATGGTGAAACCATGTCTCTGCTAAAAATACAAAAATCAGCCGGGTGTAGTGGCATATGCCTGTAATCCCAGCTACTCGGGAGGCTGAGGCATGAGAATCACTTGAACCTGGAGGCAGAGGGTGCAGTGAGCCAATATCGTGCCACTGCACTCCAGCCTGGGTGACACAGCGAGACTCTGTCTCAAAAAAAAAACAAAAACATATATATATATATATATATATAAATATATATATATATAAATATATATACATATAATTTTTTCAGGCAGGGGCAATGGCTTATGCCTGCAATTTTAACACTTTGGGAGGCAGAGGTGGGAGGATCATTTTACCTAGGAGTTTGAGACCAGCCTGGGCAACATAGTGAGATCTTGTCTCTACAAAAACAGTTTTAGTCAGGCGTGGTGGTGCATACCTGTAGCCCCAGCTACTTAGGAGGCTGGGGCAGGAGAATCCTGCTGCTGCATTTTGTGCTACTTTTAAAAATATTTGGTAAAATTCAGGAGTAAAGCCGTCGGGTCTTGGGCTTTTCTTTCCCGGGAAACTTTTTTTTATTTTTTGAGAGGGCGTCTCGCTCTGTCGCCCAGGCTGGAGTGCAGTGGCCTGATCTCGACTCACTTGCAGGCTCCGCCCCTCAGGTTCACGCCATTCTCCTACCTCAGCCTCCTGAGTAGCTGGGACTAGAGGCACCCGCCACCATGCCCAGCTAATTTTTTTTTTTTTTGTATTTTTTTTAGTAGAGACGGGGTTTGACCGTGTTAGCCAGGATGGTCTCCATCTCCTGACCTCGTGATCCGCCCGCCTCGGCTTCCCAAAGTGCTGGGATTACACGCGTGAGCCACTGCACCCGGCTTTTCCTGGGAAAATTGTTTCCGTCTCACTACTTATTGGTCTTTTCAGGTTTTGGATTTCTTTGTGGTTCATTCTTGCTAGGTTGTATGTATCTAGGAAAGTATCCATTTATTCTAGATTTTCTAATTTATTGGTCTATAGTTGCTCATACTAGCCTCTAATGATCCTTAGAATTTCTACAGTATCAATGAAAATGTCCCCATTTTCATCTTGATTTTATTTATTTAGGGTTTTTTGTTTTTTTTTAGTGTGGCTAAAGGTTACTGGTTTGGTTTATCTTTTTTAAAAAACGAACTTTTCGTTTTGTTCATATTTTGTATTTTTTCATTTCAATTTCATTAATTTTTGCTCTTATCTTTATTCTTTCCTTTCTTCTATACTTATTTTGGGTCTGGTTTATTCTTGCTTTTCTAGTTCTTTTAAGATGTATCGGCGCCACGGGCCCCGCAGAGCCAGGGCGGCTCCCGCCGGTAGCCTGTGTGTGGGCCCCGGCCAGCCGCGCCCCCAGTCCATATCGCCCTTCACTGCCCCGAGGCTGGCGCGGCTATGGGGCGCGGGGCCGGCGCTGCTCTGGGGCGTTGGAGCCGCGCGCCGCTGGAGGAGCTGCTGCCGGGGCGGGGGTCTGGGCGGCTCGGGGGGCCACGCGGGCCTCGGACGGCTCCCGGGGCTGTGGGCTTGGGCCCGGCAGCTGCAGGTGCGGGGCTCTTGCCGGCCGGGCGCTCCTCGGCTCCCGCGCGCCGGGTTCCCGGGCGGTCCCACCGCCACTGCCTGGGCAGGGGAGGAGGCCTGGCGGCGCGGGCGGGCGGCGCCTTCCCGGGACGACCAGCGGCTACGACCCATGGCGCCCGGACTCTCGGAGGCCGGGAAGCTCCTGGGGCTGGAGTACCCTGAGCGCCAGAGGCTGGCAGCTGCGGTTGGATTTCTCCGATGTCCGGTGTTATCTCCATGTCTGCCCCTTTCTTCCTGGGGAAGATCATCGATGCCATCTATACCAACCCCACTGTGGACTACAGCGACAACCTGACCCGCCTCTGCCTTGGCCTCAGTGGCGTGTTTCTGTGTGGTGCTGCCGCCAATGCCATTCGTGTCTACCTCATGCAAACTTCAGGTCAGCGCGTTGTGAAGAGGCTGAGAACTTCGTTATTCTCCATTCTGAAGCAGGAGGTTGCTTTCTTTGACAAGGCTGGCACAGGGGAATTGATTAACCGCCTCTCATCGGACACTGCACTCCTGGGGCGCTCAGTGACTGAAAACCTCTCAGATGGGCTCAGGGCCGGGGCCCGGGCTTCTATAGGCATCAGGATGATGTTTTGTGTCTCACCTAATCGGGCCACCTTTGTTGTGAGCGTGGTGCCTCTAGTGTCAATCATTGATGTAATTTATGGACGATATCTACGGAAACTGACCAAAGTCACCCAGGATTCGCTGGCACAAGCCACTCAGGAGGAACGTATTGGAAATGTTAAGAACTGTTCGAGCTTTTGGGAAAGAAATGACTGAAATAGAAAAATAGGCCAGCAAAGTGGACCATGTGATGTAGTCAGCAAGGAAAGAGGCATTCGCTCAGGCTGGCTTCTTTGGAGAACTAGGCTGTCCGGAAACCTGATTGTGCTTTCTGAACCTGTACAAAGGGGGGCTGCTGATGGGCAGTGCCCACATGACCATGGGTGAACTCTCTCCCTTCCTATGTATGCTTTCGGGGTTGGAATAAGCATTGGAGGTCTGAGCTCTTTCTACTCGGAGCTGATGAAAGGACTGGGTGCCGGGGGGCGCCTCTGGGAGCTCCTGGAGAGAGAGCCCAATCTGCCTTTTAAGGAGGGGGAAGGGTTATCTTAAATGAGAAAAGCTTCCAGGGTGCTTTGGAGTTTAAGAACGTGCATTTTGCCGATCCCGCTTGCCCAGAGGCGCCCATATTTCAGGATTTCAGCCTTTCCATTCCGTCAGGATCTGTCACGGCACTGGTTGGCCCAGGTGGTTCTGGCAAATCAACAGTGCTTTCGCTCCTGCTGAGGTTGTTCGACCCTGCTTCTGGAACTATCAGTCTTGATGGCCATGACATCCGTCAGCTAAACCCAGTGTGGCTGAGATCCAAGATTGGGACAGTGAGACAGGAACCCATTTTGTTTTCTTGCTCTATCACTGAGAACATTGCTTATGGTGCTGATGGCCTTCCTCTGTGACCGCTGAGCAAGTCCAGAGAGTGGCTGAAGTGGCCAATGCAGTGGTCTTGATCCGGAATTTCCCCCAAGGGTTCAACACTGTGGTTGGAGAAAAGGGTGTTCTCCTCTCAGGTGGGCAGAAACAGCGGATTGCAATTGCCCGTGCTCTGCTGAAGAATCCCAAAGTTCTTCTCCTAGTGAAGCAACCAGTGCGCTGGATGCTGAAAATGAGTACCTTGTTCAAGAAGCTCTAGATCCACTGATGGATGGAAGAACAGCGTTAGTTATTGCCCATCATCTCTCCACCATTAAGAATGCTAATATGGTTGCTGTTCTTGACCAAGGAAAAATTACTGAATATGGAAAACATGAAGAGCTGCTTTCAAAACCAAATGGGATATACAGAAAACTAATGAACAAGCAAAGTTTTATTTCAGCCTAAGGAAACAATTACTGGTAAACAACATGAGAGACTTTAATGCAAAACAGTATTGTAGAAAAAAAAAACACCTCAGAGACTGCATGAAATATGTAAACCATATATCAAGTTATTTGAAAAATAGCTATTTTTTCCAAAGCGTGTAAAATATTGCTTTGAAATGTACCTGTTCTCAAGATCTTTTTATTCAGAGTTTTAACCATTGTAACTTTTTAAATGTCTGTAGCACTGAAGTTATTTTCAGGTTTTGTATTTTCTTTCATTGTGGAATATTTTAATTAATATAGCATGGCACCTCATTTTCTTTTGCCTGCTGTTAAAGATGGAAGCTGTTGTCAAATGACAACTTTAAAAAGGGAAGTATAAATAAAAAGCCTGATTATTTTAGGCCAGTTTGCCAATCACTGTGTAATTCCTCTGGTAGTATTCTACCTACTTTAAGTCTAATTTTACTAGATAGAGTAATGGAAAATGAAAATCTAACCCTTTATTCCGATAATCTCATGAAGCAAACCTAACTATTTAACATCAGCTGGAAAGAAGGGAACATTTATATTGCCCGTCTCCTGTGTCTTCAAAGGTGTGAGAGTTGAGGAATATGTGTTCCTACGGGAACTATGTTTGAATATGTGCAGTTTTCAACATTTTGGCAAATGAAAGCCTGACAAGTTTTTAAAAGGGCAGAAGCTTTATTTTTTGAACAGAAAAATCTATTTTTTAAATTCACATGTTTGTATGAGTACTTCTGGGAAGCAAGGGATGAACTGCTAGGTATTATTAAGAACGAATGATTTTTGCATTTAAGTTGTTTGAAGGCATGTATTTTGAAAAATATCTGTTACAAATTTATAATTTCAAGACATACTAAATCTTATAATACTTTTGGAATTTCATTAATAAGGCTAAAATCTGAGGAATGTAACTAATTTTCAGCCTTAAGACACTTAAGTTTGGAAGTCCTTGCTATTCAACAGAATAACAAGAAACCTTCAGAATGTATCACTCTCCCAAAAAGAAGATATTAATAAGCCCTTTTCTTTTATTCATGGTTATAGTTTTTTTATAGTCTCAAAATTCCTAAAGCAATGCTGACAGCCATTGAATTTGCCATATTTTGTATTCAGTGCTGTTAATGTGCTGTTGCCTCAAGAAAAAGTGCTTTTTCTCCATTGATGAGGCTAGACCCTAAGAGGTAATTAAGTCAATGTAAATCAAATGGAAGTTTTGCCATGAACTAAGCATTTATTAGTTCCCTGATTAGACTGGAAGAAGAAACCGCTATTTCATGACAAGCATGGAATATTATATTTTCTTCTTCATAATTAATGAATAAAATTGATATGAGCGAATGAATGTAGTATTTTTTGAATTAGTAAACAGTACATCTGTGACAATCATTTTAACAAGCTCTACTTGTGTTCTTTATAAAGTGTGATTTTCAGAAAGCAAACAAAACACAATTAAAAGGTTGAATCTGAGGAAAATAATGCTTGTACCATAGAAGTATTTACAAAATTGCATTTCATTGTTATGTTTTATTTTCTGATACCTGATGTTCAATTATATCTGTAGGTAATATTTTATATCATAGATTAAAATTTATAGTGACCTTAAAAAAAGATGTATCATCAGGTTATTTATTTGAGGTTTTTCACTTTTTTGATCTTGGAAATTATAGGTATACATTTCCCTCTTACTACTGCTTTTTGCTGTATCCCATAGGTTTTGGTATGTTGTGTTGCCGTTTTTATCTGCTTCAATAAATTTTTCAATTTCTTCTGAATTTCTTTGTTGAAATTGTAAGGATCATTAGAGGCTACTGTGAGCAACCATAGGCCAGAAATTAGAAAACCTAGACTATATGGATACATATAGATACAGAAAAATTCACATTATGAATTTGTTCTCAAATAAGCTTTGGTAATTTGTCTCTTTAAAGAACTTTAAGCTGCCAAATTCTTGAGTATGGAATTGTTCATAATAGTTATTATCATTTAAATATAGAGGTTCTGTAATGATATTTCTTCTTTTATCAGTCCTTTTTTCTTAGTCTTACTAGTATGTAACAACTTTACTGATTTTTTCAAAGGAACTTTTCACTTTGTGAATTTATTTACTTTCAATTTCATTTATTTCTTTCATTACCTGTTATTTTATTTTTTCAAATTACGTTTTATTTGTTTATTTTTTCATTGACTTTTAAACCTACGTATTTTTCTAATACAAGAATTTCAAATAATAAATTACCCTCTCAATTTAACTCTACACCACAAATATGAAGCTTTTATTATCATAATTTTGTTTTATTTTATTTTTTTAATTGGCACATAATAATTGTGCATATTTATGGGTACATAGTGATGTTTCAATACTCATAGTGTATATATTTAATTACCCTGATGAGGTGATGGTAATTAGCATATCCATCATTGCAAACATTTATCATTTCTTTGTTTTGGGAACATTCAATATCCTTTGCTAACTATTTGAAGCTATATGTTATTGTTAACTATTGTCATACCATAATGGTATAGAGCATTAGAACTTATTCCTCCTATCTAGCTTTAATTTTGAATCTTTTAACAAATCTCTCCCTATCCCTCCCTTCCTCTTATACTTTCCAGCCTCTAGCATCCTCTGTTTTAACTTCTATAAGATCAAAATATTTTAGCTTCCACATATGAGTGAGAAGCTGTAATGTTTAACTTTCTCTTCTTGGCTCATTTCACTCACATAATACACTCCATTTCTATGCACGTTGCTTTTATGGCCGAATAGTACTTCATTGTGTATCTATTCCTTTTCCCCTCCTGTCCCCTCCCTTCCCCTCCTCTCCCCTCCCCTCTCCTTCCTTTCCCTTCTTGAGATGGAGTCTTGCTCTGGAGTGCAATGGTGTGATCTTGGCTCACTGTAACCTCTGCCTCTCGGATTCAAGTGATCTTCCACCTCAGCCTCCCGAGTAGCTGGGGACGTGCCACCATGCCCAGCTAATTTTTATATTTGTAGTAGAGATGGGGTTTCACCATGTTGGCCAGGCTAGTCTCGAACTCCTGACCTCCAGTGATCCACCCATCTTGGCCTTCCAAAGTGCTGGGATTGCAGGCGTGAGCCACCGTGCCCGGCCTATATACCACATTTTCTTTAACCATCATCTGTTGCTGGACCCTTAGGTTGATTCCATATCTTGCCTATTGTGAATAGTGCTGCAATAAACATCTAGGTGCAGATGTTTATTTAATACACTGTTTTCCTTATTTCATATTTTTTCTAAATTATCTTTTGATTTCTTTTATGAACTATGAGTTAAATAGTGTTTCATGTTATTTACAACTATTTGGGGGTTTCCTAGGAATCTCTTATGTCATCAATTTCAAATTAAATTTTATTGTGATCAGAGAATATATTCTATAAAATCTAAAGCTTAAATTCATTTAAACTTACTTTTTGATTCAGCATTTGGCCTATGTTGGTGGTGCTTTCAATACACAAGAAAACAATGTATATTCAGCATTTGAAATGTAGTTTTTATAAATGTCAATAAGATCAAGGTGATTTATAATGAAGTTGAAATGTTCTATAGCCATACGAATGGTTTGTCTTACTGTTCAATCAGTGATGAACAGAGGGATGTTAAAATCTTTAATTATTATTGTCATTTATCCATTTCTCCCTTCAATTCTGCTTTTTCCTTCATGAATTATGAGGCTTTGTTATTAAGTTGGTGTCCCTTTCATAATTATGAAATGGGGGCATTTCATAATTATGGACATCTATGTCATATTAGGACAATAATGTAATAACCAATTCATCAGAGGACAATAATATAAGCAATATTATTGTCCTCTGATGAATTGGTTATTTCATAATTATGAAATGCCCCCATTTTCTCTTATAATGCACCCTCTTTTCCAGTCTACATTGCATTTTGCTAATATAGCCACACAAGCTTCCTAATGCTTGCTGTGTATATGGTTTATCTTTTCTTGTAGGTTTACTTTTCATCTATCTGTGTCTTTATGTTTAATATATGCTTCTGGTAGACAACATTAGTTGGGTCTCATTCTTTTGTCTAATATGACAGTCTCTACCTTGTAATTGAATAATTTAGTTCATAAATATGTTAAATGAAATGTGTTGCCACTTTTAAAAACTGTACAATCTCTTGTTTCTCTTCTCGTATTTTTGTTTAATTGTATTTTAAGTATTCATTTTAAATTGCATAGATGAGTTAGTTGCAACGCTTTTTTGTATTGAGTTATTTGTATTACAATAATCATCAATTTATACTTAACTAATCTAAATTTTACTTAGAGGTAATTTTTGACAACTTCATATATAATGTAAAAAACTGATGACATCTGTTCTATTTTTACATTCTCTCCAGTGATTGATAGTGTTGCCTACTTTGTCAAATCAAAACAAGGCAACATTTTCCTAAAAAGTGATCTGTGCTCCACCTATCCTATTCATATGCACAGAAGACTTTCAGGGCAGAAAACTATTCTGCATGATACTACACTGGTATATGAATTTGCCTAAACTCATAGAATGTATGACAGCAAGCGTGGACCCTAATATAACTATGGACCTTGGTGATAAGGATGTGCCAGTGCAGGTTCATCAGCGGTAAGTAATGTGCCACTCCAGAGGAGAATGACAGCAAGGGGTCAGGCTGTGCCTGTGTGGACACAATGATGTATGAGAAATCTTTGTATCTTTCTTTCAATTTTGCTGTGAACTTACAACTGCCCTAAAAATAAAGTCTATTAAAAAAACCCAAAACAACAACAACAAAAACTGATGATGGTAACATTTCCTTTACTCCCCCTCTGTCTTTTGTGATTTTTTTTAGTATAAGTTTTTCTATCCACATCATAAAGCCCACAATAAAATGATATCTTTTTAAATTTAAATAGTCAGTTTCCCTTCAACAAAATCGACAGATTAAAAAAAAGTATTTCCTGTTACTCATATACTTACCATTTCTATGCTTTTCATTTCCTCTAATCTGGAGTTTAGATTCGATGTTATTTCCCTTCAGGCCAGAAAACTTCTGCTAGCATGTTTTGTAGTACAGATTTGCTGGTGACAAATTGGCCCATTTAATTTTTCCGAAAATGTCTTAATTTTACCTTCAACTTTGAAAGATACTTTAATAATATATAGAAACGAACCTGATGCTCTGTCATCTCCAAATACTTTAGTAGACTGATTCTCAACCAGGGGGAGTTTTGCCCTCCAGGAAACATCTGATAATATCTCAAGATATTTTTAGTTGTTAGCCTGGGCAAAGGTGTGAGGAGGATGCTACTGTCATTTAGTTATTAAAGGCAAACCAAGTCGCTAAACATCCTGCAATTCACAGGAAATGCCCCCAACAAAGAATTATGTGGCCCAAATGTCAGAAGCGATAGTGCCAAAGTTGAAAAACCTTGCTTTCATATATATTTTCTACAAACACAATTGTGTCTATATATGTATATACATATATATAATTCTATATGTTACAAATCTATTACAGTAATATATGTGCCCCCCCAAATGCAATACACGCACAGTACAACGAACAAAACCAGAAAATTAATATTAATATATTGCTACATCTAATTATCAAGTCCGCATTAAAATTTCACCAATAGTCAGCCGGGCACGGTGGCTCACGCCTGTAATCCCAGCACTTTGGGAGGCCGAGGCGGATGGGTCACGAGGTCAGGCGATCAAGACCATCCTGGCTAACAGGGTGAAACCCCGTCTCTACTAAAAATACAAAAAAAAAAAGGAAAAAATTAGCCGGGTGTGGTGGTGGGTGCCTGTAGTCCCAGCTACTCGGGAGGCTGAGGCAGGAGAATGGCGTGAACCTAGGAGGCGAGGCTTGCAGTGAGCCCAGACTGCGCCACTGCACTCCAGGCTGGGCGACAGACCGAGACCCCGTCTCAAAAAAAAAAAAAAATTTTTCACCAATAGTCCCAATAATGTTTCATAGCAAAAGGATCAAGTTCAGAATCATGCATTGCCTTTCATTGTCATGTCTTTTTAATGTCCTTGTATCAAGAATAGATCTTTAGACCTAACTTAACCAAGATTTCTGGCCCATATTTTCTTCTTTTTTTCCTTTGCTTTGCTTCTCCTTCCTTTTCTCCTTTCCTTTCTCCTTCGCTTTCCCCTTCCTTTTTCTCTTCCCTCTCCCCTTCCCTTCCCCCTCCCCTTCCTTCTCCTTTTCTCTTTCCCTTACTTTTTCCTTTTCCCTTCCTTCTTTTTTGAATGGCTCCCTTTAGGTTTTCTGAGGTTTCCTTGTGACTAGAGTCAGGCAATGCATTTTGGCAAGAATATCACAGAATTGATGCTGCGTTTTTTTCATTGCATCCTATCAGGTGGTACATGATTCCAGTTTGTCTCACTACTGACAATGTTTATTTTGACAGGTTGATAATGGTGGTATATAGTAGGCTTCTATCTTGTTATTCTCTATTTCTAGATTCTGTTACTTTATTTTATGTTGTTTTTCCTAAAGGGTAATAGGAATTCTCTCTGTTTCTTTGTTTTTGTTTATTTCCCTATTTTTATTCCTTACTATACTTTTAGTACATAGTACCTAGTGCAAAATACTAATATATGTTGAACACCAACAGTTGTTGAACAAATGTCTGAAACTGACTCTGTCCTGCTACCACAAAAACATATATATATATATTTTTTTCCTATAGGGATACCATCAACTCTACATAGTTGTCTAAGCCAAGACCTCCTGCTAGGACTGATTAAAGCCCGTGCATCCTCATTATCCAGAGCCTGTGTTGCTCCTCTAGAGCTATAGCCAGGCTAACCATTCCTTCTGGTTAATATCTGAAAGGAAGAATCATGCAGCAAGAAGAGAACTGTGAGGGAATAAAAATGGCACAAACCCAGCCTGGATTTCTCTCTCCCCTTTTAATGATGAATGAATGAAAAAAATTCATCATTAGCTGTAGTTAGTTTCTATTACATAAAAAGGAAGCTGATGAAACATATAACTGAGTTATATACCCACATCCAATTGGTTCTGTTTCTCTGGAGAACTCTATTAAAGAAGTTATTGAGTATTGTTTACATGTACACTGACAAATATGTCTAAAGGTTATGTCTGAACACCTATAAATTTATATCAATGATTCTATATAGTTCATTCTTATTACACTTGATTCTAATTCTTATGAAGTTGATGTTTGGTAGAATGAATGATAAAAGGAGATTCTGTCCCCTATTGAAGTGTTTGTGTAGTTACACGCCAGAGTTTTGGAGATTGAGGAAAAGGTTGAGCTTAAATAATTTTATGGGCAAACTCAATGCTTGAATGTAAGATAGTACTTTGAAAGATTTGGAGGATTTCATAATGACTTTTACTTTTGCTAATTATTGATACAGTCACTTGTAAATAAGTTTACTTAGGTAAGCTCAAGGAAATCATGCTTTTTCTCAGGCTTATTTTAAATCTGAATATTTTTACTGTCTTTGCTTTTACAAGAAAATATTCATCATTGTATTTTTTGTCTTAATTTTCAAAGTCAAATGTTAATTGTTTTTGTGGGATTACTTTGGCAAATATGGGAGATCCCCAAACAAATTTTAAAAAGTTTTTTCGGCCGGGCGCTGTGGCTCACGCCTGCAATCCCAGCACTTTGGGAGGCTGAGGCGGGCGGATCACGAGGTCAGGAGGTCAAGACCATCCTGGCTAACACAGTGAAACCACGTCTCTACTAAAAATACAAAAAAATTAGCCGGACGTGGTGGCGGGCGCCTGTAGTCCCAGCTACTCTGGAGGCTGAGGCAGGAGAACGGCGTGAACCCGGGAGGCAGAGCTTGCAGTGAGCTGAGATCGTGCCACTGCACTCCAGCCTGGGCGACAGAGCGAGATTCTGTCTCAAAAAAAAAAAAAAAAAAAAAAAAGTTGTTTCTGTTCTCCTTTGTTTTCTACTTTCTCTTAAATAGAAATATATTTCTTGTACAAATAAATGCCATGAATTAAAAAAATAATAAATTATGATTTTCCTTCGTGAGGATCAGTTCTCCTAGACATTGGTTTAGCTAATGCCAGCTATTTGGTATAAAAATCTGTATCAGTGGAGAGGTAAAAAAGAGCTAAAGGAAGCATAAGAAAGACAACCGCATCTTTAGGAAGTTCCTCTTTTTCTTTTCTTTTTTTTTTTTTTTTTTGAGACGGAGTCTTGCTTTGTTCCCCATTGTTCCCCAGGCTGGAGTGCAGCGGCGCGATTTCTGCTCAGTGCAAACTCCGCCTCCCGGGTTCACGCCATTCTCCTGCCTCAGCCTCCCGTGCAGCTGGGACTACAAGTGCCCGCTGCGGCGCCCAGCTAATTTTTTGTATCTTTAGTAGAGACGGGGTTTCACTGTGTTAACCAGGATGGTCTCGATCTCCTGACCTCGTGATCCACCCGCCTCGGCCTCCCAAAGTGCTGGGATTACAGGCGTGAGCCACAGCACCCGGCCAAGAAGGTTCTCTTAAAAGGAATCACTTCTTGTTTTCTTACAAGTTATAACCTCACTACCCTAGAGTCACATTTTTTAATAACTTATGAATTTTCTGAAACTTCAAATACCCTATGGCCCCATGGTAAAACATCAGATGACATTTGCCTCTCATTTAAACCATTTTTCTTTTCCTCTTTCTTCTTTATTTTTCTTATACTCTCTCCTCATTTCTTTTTCTCTCTTCCTATTTCTCTTTTTCTCTCTGCTTCTTCCTACCTCCCCTCGTGACTTTGTCTCCTCATCCCATCACCGTGCTACTTAGATGCCACATCAATTTGACTAGCCTCAAATTTACAATGAATACTTTTTAAATTCATGCTTCTGAAACTTTTAAAGGATGAAGAGGTATAAATGTCTCACATAATAATTTGTTTGATGGCTGAAATGAATGGCATTTCTCAAAAAGGCCAAGGGACTGAATACAGAAATTTAAACAATAACTTTCCGTTAGTGATACGGTTTGGATGTTTTGTCCCCTCCAAATCTCATGTTGAAATGCGACCTCCAGTGTTGGAGGTGGGCCTAGTAATAGGTGTTTGTTTCCCAAGGGTGGATCCCCATGAATGGTTTTGTGCTGTCCTCCTGGTAATGAGTGAGTTCTTGCTCTATGAATTCACGAGAGATCTTGTTGTTTAAAAGAGCCTGGCATCTCCCTTGCTCCCTCTCTCCCCATGTAATATGCCAGCTCCCCCTTTGCCTTAAGCCATGATTGTCAGCTTCCCGGGCCTCAGCAGAAGCTGAGCAGATACTGGTGGCCTGTTTGTACAGCCTGCAGACCATCAGCCAAATACTCCTCTTTTCTTTATAAATTACCCAGTCTCAGGTATTCCTTTATAGCATTGAGATGGACTAACATAGTCAGTTTTGACAACATGAACCTTTCATATTAAAATTTAATTTCTAAATTCACTCATTTACTGTGATTGGTTTATAGCTTTTCTGTAATAATGAATCTTACGTGTGACTTTCAATGTGCTTTAAAACTTGATTCACTTTTTAGCTCTATTTTTGGAAACTACCAGCTTCCACTGTTGAGGCAAAAGTGTCATCATTGAGGCTCTCCTGCTGAGGTAGCTGTTGTCTGATTTCCCTTCAGTTCTACTGCTGTCCCAGTGGAAAAAGGGAATCTTCACCACTTACATGACATGTTTGCCTGAACTCTAATCTTCCACACTTGCTGTAGAAAAGAGTAAAGTGGCAGTTCAGGGCAGTTTACCAATTTAGAAATGGTGTCCGCTCAGTATTTTCCTCTGTGTCACTTACTAAAACATATAAAAGAAACCATGGACATTAAAAGAAAGAGAGAGGTTTAATGTGATATTTTAATTCTAACAAGGATTTATGGGCACATGAATGCTCAAAATCACATACCCCCTTAGTGTTTTTCATCTCACACATATCACATCAGATACATATCACACATTTCAGGCACATATCACACAGAACTTACCGTAATTAAATTATCAGTTTTTGAAAAATATTATCATTTGCTCTCTTTTTTTCTATATAAATAAATTTTTTTAAAATATGATTTTCAGTTCTGGGATACATGCACGGAACATGCAGGTTTGTTATATAGGTATACATGTGCCATATAGGTGGTTTCTTATTTGTGTTTTCATCTTATGGCTTTGGCTAGAACTAGATAATAAAAGTATGCATCAATTTAAGAGTTATTTTTAATCATGGTAAGGACATATCTATAACTACTTTGTTAAATTTCATCAGTCATGCATGTTAAATATCATTAAATAAATATCAAAAATGGGCTGCTGTACCAGAATACCATAGACTTGGTGGCTTATAAACAACAGAAAGGAATTTCTCACAGTTCTGGGGTCTGGGAAATCTAAGACCAAGGTACTAGCCAATCTGGTGTCTGGGAAAAACTTTTGTTCTAGTTCAAAGAAGGCTGCCCTTTCTCTATAACCTCAGTTGGGGAAGGAGCAAGGGAGTTCAGGGGGCTGCTTTAGAAGGGTGCTAAACCCATTAATGAGGGCTGCTCTCTCATGACTTAATTAGTTCCCAAAAGCCCCACCTTCAAAAACCCTCACATTGGCGGTTAGCATTTCAACATATGAATTTGAGAGGGATGTAAACATTTAGTCTGTAGCAGTAAATGTACAATATAAAGTAAATAGCTTTATTGTTGTGTTGCATTATATTAATATATATTTTCTAGTATTAAATCTTTGTATGCCAAATCACTGGGGTGGGTGATTTCTTAGTAAGTGTAGAATTCAGTTCCTTTTTCTTTCAGTTAAGAATATTTTAACTATGTTTATAAGGGATACTGTTTAGTAATTTTATTCTTTTTGTATTCACTTCATCAAGAGTTAGTAATAGTTATATTTGCTTTGTAAAATGAACTGAAAGGAAGCCACTTTTTATAACTTTATCCATATTTCCTAGTTTGGGGTCCATTTTACAAGATGTTTTAAACAGATGCTTATTAAAAACACCGGTTATAGGGACTTTAATAAAAATTTTTAAAATAATGTTTTACATTTCTTGCAAAAATTGATGCCTGCAACCTATTTACTGTTTTTAAAATTAAATTAAGATTCATTTAAGCAGTACATGTTTATTTTAGTGAAACACGTATTTAATTTTCTAAGATAGTATTTTTTGTCTTTAAAACAATTTCTGCATGTTTTGTTTTTTTTTCACTTTAAATTTTATGTTTTCTCAGTTTTTGTTTTATCACATTTGCTATATTTTTCTGTATCATGGGTTATTTGTTAAAGAATGAACTTGTGTATGTTTATAAATTGTTACTGTTTTTGTTTATAATTTATTGCCTTCTAACTTAATATGTAATTAGCATTCCTTTTAATTTTGCTTGTATGCTTTGCTGTACCATTTTGAAATTCTTGAGTTAAATGCTTAACTATTTTTTATCAAGTTTAAATATTAAATTAAATATGTCCCATCAGTTTAGTCATTTTAATATTCTCACTCATCAGACATTTTTTGGGAACACCATATGCCTTTTCATGCAGTCAGTTTCAAGAAAATGAAAATTACTTTTTATATGTTTATACTCAAAGCTTGGCTAGAGATAAGTCTCCCCTTCCTTAAGTTGGGGAGAGAGTGATTTCTTCCAGGCTATAATCAAAAGAGATACAATTATAGTAACTTTTTGTGTTTGTTTGGGTTGTTTCTGTTTGTTTGTTTGTTTGTTTGTTTGAGACGGAGGTTGGATCTTGTTGCCCAGGCTGGAGTGTAGTGGCATAATCTCAGCTCACTGCAACCTCCGCCTCCTGGGTTCAAGCAATTCTAAACATATTTTAGCACAAAACTATTTAAGATTTCAATTTATATCTTTTTATTATCTTCCATATACTCTTTTGATACATTACCCATTATGTTGATTATTAACGTACACTCAAGTCAAGATCTTTTATTATGTGAGGTCATCAGTCAATGATAACAGATATTGATGAATTAGTCTCCTCATCAGAAATTGAGCAACATTTTCATTCAAGACGACACATGGGCCTTTAAAGCATATTCAATAATACTGAGTCTCAGTGTTCTCCTGCTATTTTCTGAATGTGCATTTAGACCTTTATACATCTATCTATCTACTGACCCATTTATTAAATTTTCAGCATTTACTTTGTACTCCAAGGACCAGAACCATGTTTGTCTTGTTCACTGGTGTACTCCTATTGCAAGGACCTAGAACATAGTAGGAGCTCATTAAACTCTGAGGTTTCAAAATAAGTGAATAGAGGTTGTAGCAGGAAGAAGTCTAAGATAGCCCCTATGACCTTCATTTCCTCATGTTACCCTGTTGATACCTCACACGGCAAAGGAGTCTTGCACATGTCACTAAGGCTAATAATCCGTCAGCCTTAAGACGGGGGGAGTATCTGGGTAAACCTAACCTAATCACACCAAAACTTCACAATCAGGGAGTTTTCTACAACTGAGAGTAGAATGGGAAGTCAGAGAGTTTCAGAGTCCAAGAAGCATTTATAGCACCCTTATTGACTTTGAAGATGCTTTGCTTCTTCTTTTGAGTTCAGTTTGAGATTATCTTTCTAATAATTGATTAGATTTTATTCTTGTAAAAAAAGAGATAATTTAAAGGAATCTATTTTTAAATACTCTGAGGAGGGTGATACTAGGGGTGCTGGTTGTCCTGTTTTAACTTTGTCTTAATTTCTAATGTAATTAAATTTTGAGTAGGTAATGTGACCTGTGTGGTTTTTATTTTAAAAAATATATTGAGGTTTTATATAATCTATTTTTAAAATATTCAATGGAAACTTGAAAACATACTGTTTCACATATTCTCGTATATATATATTAAAAAT
The DNA here is from genome assembly GCF_000001405.40 of Homo sapiens. Lineage (NCBI taxonomy): Eukaryota > Metazoa > Chordata > Mammalia > Primates > Hominidae > Homo > Homo sapiens. Next base: position 105,729 of record NW_003315943.1, read on the forward strand.
CTTTTTTTATTTATTTTTTATTTTTATTTTTTTTTGAGACGGAGTCTCGCTCTGTCGCCCAGGCTGGAGTGCAGTGGCGCCATCTGGGCTCACTGCAAGCTCCGCCTCCTGGGTTCACGCCATTCTCCTGCCTCAGCCTCCCGAGTAGCTGGGACTGCAGGCACCCACCACCACGCCCAGCTAATTTTTTGTATTTTTAGTGGAGACAGAGTTTCACCGTGTTAGCCAGGATGGTCTCGATTTCCTGACCTCGTGATCCGCCCGCCTCAGCCTCCCAAAGTGCTGGGATTACAGGCGTGAGCCACTTAGCCCGGCCTAATTATTTGTTTTTTAAAAGACGGTACATAGGAAGAAGTAAATCAGGAAAAGTGGATAGTGATTGGTGGCAGTAGAAGTGAGTCAGTGTTACAGTTACTATTGCTGCTTAAGAAACTAACCCAAATGGCCTGGGCGCCGTGGCTCACGCCTGTAATCCCAGCAGTTTGGGAGGCTGAGACGGGCGGATCATGAGTTCAGGAGATCGAGACCATCCTGCCTAATACGGTGAAACTCTGTCTCTACTAAAAATACAAAAGTTAGCCTGGCCTGGTGGTGGTGGGCGCCTTAAGTCCCAGCTACTCGGGAGGCTGAGGCAGGAGAATGGCGTGAACCCGGGAGGCGGAGCTTGCTGTGAGCCGAGATCGCGCCACTGCAGTCCAGCTTGGGCCACAGAGGGAGACTCCGTCTCAAAAAAAAAAAATTTAAAAAAAGAAAAAGAAAAAAGAAACTACCCTAAATTTAATAAGGTAAAACAACGACCACTTCATTATATCTCATGGATCCTATAGGTGAGAAATTCCAGCAGGATTCATCTGAGTGATTCTTCCTCTCTCACATCATTAACTAGGGTGACTCAGTGCTAGTCGGCTGGCAAACAAGTCAGTCTGGAAGGTGCAAGGTGCTTTTTTTCTGTCTTATAAATTGGTGGAGTTGTCTGGAAGGCAAGGCTCAGATGGGAAGGACTCTTAGTTATAGTGCCTGCACAGGGTAAACTTTTTTTTTTTCTTTTTTTTTTGAGACGGAGTCTCACTGTCCCCCAGGCTGGAGTGGTGTGGCCCGATCTCGGCTAACTGCAAGCTCCGCCTCCCGGGTTCACGCCATTCTCCTGCCTCAGCCTCCCGAGTAGCTGGGACTACAGGCGCCCACCACCAGGCCCGGCTATTTTTTTGTATTTTTAGTAGAGACGGGGTTTCACCGTGTTAGCCAGGATGGTCTCGATCTCCTGACCTCGTGATCCACCCGCCTCGGCCTCCCAAAGTGCTGGGATTACAGGCGTGAGCCACAGCTCCCGGCCAAGAAGGCTCTCTTAAAAGGAATCACTTCTTGTTTTCTTACAAGTTATAACCTCACTACCCTAGAGTCACATTTTTTAATAACTTACGAATTTTCTGAATCTTCAAATACCCTATGGCCCCATGGTAAAACATCAGATGACATTTGCCTCTCATTTAAACCATTTTTCTTTTCCTCTTTCTTCTTTATTTTTCTTATACTCTCTCCTCATTTCTTTTTCTCTCTTCCTATTTCTCTTTTTCTCTCTGCTTCTTCCTACCTTCCCTCGTGACTTTGTCTCCTCATCCCATCACCGTGCTACTTAGATGCCACATCAATTTGACTAGCCTCAAATTTACAATGAATACTTTTTAAATTCATGCTTCTGAAACTTTTAAAGGATGAAGAGGTATAAATGTCTCAAATAATAATTTGCTTGATGGCTGAAATGAATGGCATTTCTCAAAAAGGCCAAGGGACTGAATACAGAAATTTAAACAATAATTTTCCGTTAGTGATACGGTTTGGATGTTTTGTCCCCTCCAAATCTCATGTTGAAATGCGACCTCCAGTGTTGGAGGTGGGCCTAGTAATAGGTGTTTGTTTCCCAAGGGTGGATCCCCATGAATGGTTTTGTGCTGTCCTCCTGGTAATGAGTGAGTTCTTGCTCTATGAATTCACGAGAGATCTTGTTGTTTAAAAGAGCCTGGCATCTCCCTTGCTCCCTCTCTCCCCATGTAATATGCCAGCTCCCCCTTTGCCTTAAGCCATGATTGTCAGCTTCCCGGGCCTCAGCAGAAGCTGAGCAGATACTGGTGGCCTGTTTGTACAGCCTGCAAACCATCAGCCCAAATACTCCTCTTTTCTTTATAAATTACCCAGTCTCAGGTATTCCTTTATAGCATTGAGATGGACTAACATAGTCAGTTTTGACAACATGAACCTTTCATATTAAAATTTAATTTCTAAATTCACTCATTTACTGTGATTGGTTTATAGCTTTTCTGTAATAATGAATTTTACGTGTGACTTTCAATGTGCTTTAAAACTTGATTCACTTTTTAGCTCTATTTTTGGAAACTACCAGCTTCCACTGTTGAGGCAAAAGTGTCATCATTGAGGCTCTCCTGCTGAGGTAGCTGTTGTCTGATTTCCCTTCAGTTCTACTGCTGTCCCAGTGGAAAAAGGGAATCTTCACCACTTACATGACATGTTTGCCTGAACTCTAATCTTCCACACTTGCTGTAGAAAAGAGTAAAGTGGCAGTTCAGGGCAGTTTACCAATTTAGAAACGGTGTCCGCTCAGTATTTTCCTCTGTGTCACTTACTAAAACATATAAAGAAACCATGGACATTAAAAGAAAGAGAGAGGTTTAATGTGATATTTTAATTCTAACAAGGATTTATGGGCACGTGAATGCTCAAAATCACATACTCCCTTAGTGTTTTTCATCTCACACATATCACATCAGACACATATCACACACATCAGGCACATATCACACAGAACTTGCCATAATTAAATTATCAGTTTTTGAAAAATATTATCATTTGCTCTCTTTTTTTCTATATAAATAAATTTTTTTAAAATATGATTTTCAGTTCTGGGATACATGCAAGGAACATGCAGGTTTGTTATATAGGTATACATGTGCCATATAGGTGGTTTCTTATTTGTGCTTTCATCTTATGGCTTTGGCTAGAACTAGATAATAAAAGTATGCATCAATTTAAGAGTTATTTTTAATCATGGTAAGGACATATCTATAACTACTTTGTTAAATTTCATCAGTCATGCATGTTAAATATCATTAAATAAATATCAAAAATGGGCTGCTGTACCAGAATACCATAGACTTGGTGGCTTATAAACAACAGAAAGGAATTTCTCACAGTTCTGGGGTCTGGGAAATCTAAGACCAAGGTACTAGCCAATCTGGTGTCTGGGAAAAACTTTTGTTCTAGTTCAAAGAAGGCTGCCCTTTCTCTATAACCTCAGTTGGGGAAGGAGCAAGGGAGTTCAGGGGGCTGCTTTAGAAGGGTGCTAAACCCATTAATGAGGGCTGCTCTCTCATGACTTAATTAGTTCCCAAAAGCCCCACCTTCAAAAACCCTCACATTGGCGGTTAGCATTTCAACATATGAATTTGAGAGGGATGTAAACATTTAGTCTGTAGCAGTAAATGTACAATATAAAGTAAATAGCTTTATTGTTGTGTTGCATTATATTAATATATATTTTCTAGTATTAAATCTTTGTATGCCAAATCACTGGGGTGGGTGATTTCTTAGTAAGTGTAGAATTCAGTTCCTTTTTCTTTCAGTTAAGAATATTTTAACTATGTTTATAAGGGATACTGTTTAGTAATTTTATTCTTTTTGTATTCACTTCATCAAGAGTTAGTAATAGTTATATTTGCTTTGTAAAATGAACTGAAAGGAAGCCACTTTTTATAACTTTATCCATATTTCCTAGTTTGGGGTCCATTTTACAAGATGTTTTAAACAGATGCTTATTAAAAACACCGGTTATAGGGACTTTAATAAAAATTTTTAAAATAATGTTTTACATTTCTTGCAAAAATTGATGCCTGCAACCTATTTACTGTTTTTAAAATTAAATTAAGATTCATTTAAGCAGTACATGTTTATTTTAGTGAAACACGTATTTAATTTTCTAAGATAGTATTTTTTGTCTTTAAAACAATTTCTGCATGTTTTGTTTTTTTTTCACTTTAAATTTTATGTTTTCTCAGTTTTTGTTTTATCACATTTGCTATATTTTTCTGTATCATGGGTTATTTGTTAAAGAATGAACTTGTGTATGTTTATAAATTGTTACTGTTTTTGTTTATAATTTATTGCCTTCTAACTTAATATGTAATTAGCATTCCTTTTAATTTTGCTTGTATGCTTTGCTGTACCATTTTGAAATTCTTGAGTTAAATGCTTAACTATTTTTTATCAAGTTTAAATATTAAATTAAATATGTCCCATCAGTTTAGTCATTTTAATATTCTCACTCATCAGACATTTTTTGGGAACACCATATGCCTTTTCATGCAGTCAGTTTCAAGAAAATGAAAATTACTTTTTATATGTTTATACTCAAAGCTTGGCTAGAGATAAGTCTCCCCTTCCTTAAGTTGGGGAGAGAGTGATTTCTTCCAGGCTATAATCAAAAGAGATACAATTATAGTAACTTTTTGTGTTTGTTTGGGTTGTTTCTGTTTGTTTGTTTGTTTGTTTGTTTGAGACGGAGGTTGGATCTTGTTGCCCAGGCTGGAGTGTAGTGGCATAATCTCAGCTCACTGCAACCTCCGCCTCCTGGGTTCAAGCAATTCTAAACATATTTTAGCACAAAACTATTTAAGATTTCAATTTATATCTTTTTATTATCTTCCATATACTCTTTTGATACATTACCCATTATGTTGATTATTAACGTACACTCAAGTCAAGATCTTTTATTATGTGAGGTCATCAGTCAATGATAACAGATATTGATGAATTAGTCTCCTCATCAGAAATTGAGCAACATTTTCATTCAAGACGACACATGGGCCTTTAAAGCATATTCAATAATACTGAGTCTCAGTGTTCTCCTGCTATTTTCTGAATGTGCATTTAGACCTTTATACATCTATCTATCTACTGACCCATTTATTAAATTTTCAGCATTTACTTTGTACTCCAAGGACCAGAACCATGTTTGTCTTGTTCACTGGTGTACTCCTATTGCAAGGACCTAGAACATAGTAGGAGCTCATTAAACTCTGAGGTTTCAAAATAAGTGAATAGAGGTTGTAGCAGGAAGAAGTCTAAGATAGCCCCTATGACCTTCATTTCCTCATGTTACCCTGTTGATACCTCACACGGCAAAGGAGTCTTGCACATGTCACTAAGGCTAATAATCCGTCAGCCTTAAGACGGGGGGAGTATCTGGGTAAACCTAACCTAATCACACCAAAACTTCACAATCAGGGAGTTTTCTACAACTGAGAGTAGAATGGGAAGTCAGAGAGTTTCAGAGTCCAAGAAGCATTTATAGCACCCTTATTGACTTTGAAGATGCTTTGCTTCTTCTTTTGAGTTCAGTTTGAGATTATCTTTCTAATAATTGATTAGATTTTATTCTTGTAAAAAAAGAGATAATTTAAAGGAATCTATTTTTAAATACTCTGAGGAGGGTGATACTAGGGGTGCTGGTTGTCCTGTTTTAACTTTGTCTTAATTTCTAATGTAATTAAATTTTGAGTAGGTAATGTGACCTGTGTGGTTTTTATTTTAAAAAATATATTGAGGTTTTATATAATCTATTTTTAAAATATTCAATGGAAACTTGAAAACATACTGTTTCACATATTCTCGTATATATATATTAAAAATCTTTTTTTATTTATTTTTTATTTTTATTTTTTTTTGAGACGGAGTCTCGCTCTGTCGCCCAGGCTGGAGTGCAGTGGCGCCATCTGGGCTCACTGCAAGCTCCGCCTCCTGGGTTCACGCCATTCTCCTGCCTCAGCCTCCCGAGTAGCTGGGACTGCAGGCACCCACCACCACGCCCAGCTAATTTTTTGTATTTTTAGTGGAGACAGAGTTTCACCGTGTTAGCCAGGATGGTCTCGATTTCCTGACCTCGTGATCCGCCCGCCTCAGCCTCCCAAAGTGCTGGGATTACAGGCGTGAGCCACTTAGCCCGGCCTAATTATTTGTTTTTTAAAAGACGGTACATAGGAAGAAGTAAATCAGGAAAAGTGGATAGTGATTGGTGGCAGTAGAAGTGAGTCAGTGTTACAGTTACTATTGCTGCTTAAGAAACTAACCCAAATGGCCTGGGCGCCGTGGCTCACGCCTGTAATCCCAGCACTTTGGGAGGCTGAGACGGGCGGATCATGAGTTCAGGAGATCGAGACCATCCTGCCTAATACGGTGAAACTCTGTCTCTACTAAAAATACAAAAGTTAGCCTGGCCTGGTGGTGGTGGGCGCCTTAAGTCCCAGCTACTCGGGAGGCTGAGGCAGGAGAATGGCGTGAACCCGGGAGGCGGAGCTTGCTGTGAGCCGAGATCGCGCCACTGCAGTCCAGCTTGGGCCACAGAGGGAGACTCCGTCTCAAAAAAAAAAAATTTAAAAAAAGAAAAAGAAAAAAGAAACTACCCTAAATTTAATAAGGTAAAACAACGACCACTTCATTATATCTCATGGATCCTATAGGTGAGAAATTCCAGCAGGATTCATCTGAGTGATTCTTCCTCTCTCACATCATTAACTAGGGTGACTCAGTGCTAGTCGGCTGGCAAACAAGTCAGTCTGGAAGGTGCAAGGTGCTTTTTTTCTGTCTTATAAATTGGTGGAGTTGTCTGGAAGGCAAGGCTCAGATGGGAAGGACTCTTAGTTATAGTGCCTGCACAGGGTAAACTTTTTTTTTTTCTTTTTTTTTTGAGACGGAGTCTCACTGTCCCCCAGGCTGGAGTGGTGTGGCCCGATCTCGGCTAACTGCAAGCTCCGCCTCCCGGGTTCACGCCATTCTCCTGCCTCAGCCTCCCGAGTAGCTGGGACTACAGGCGCCCACCACCAGGCCCGGCTATTTTTTTGTATTTTTAGTAGAGACGGGGTTTCACCGTGTTAGCCAGGATGGTCTCGATCTCCTGACCTCGTGATCCACCCGCCTCGGCCTCCCAAAGTGCTGGGATTACAGGCGTGAGCCACAGCTCCCGGCCAAGAAGGCTCTCTTAAAAGGAATCACTTCTTGTTTTCTTACAAGTTATAACCTCACTACCCTAGAGTCACATTTTTTAATAACTTACGAATTTTCTGAATCTTCAAATACCCTATGGCCCCATGGTAAAACATCAGATGACATTTGCCTCTCATTTAAACCATTTTTCTTTTCCTCTTTCTTCTTTATTTTTCTTATACTCTCTCCTCATTTCTTTTTCTCTCTTCCTATTTCTCTTTTTCTCTCTGCTTCTTCCTACCTTCCCTCGTGACTTTGTCTCCTCATCCCATCACCGTGCTACTTAGATGCCACATCAATTTGACTAGCCTCAAATTTACAATGAATACTTTTTAAATTCATGCTTCTGAAACTTTTAAAGGATGAAGAGGTATAAATGTCTCAAATAATAATTTGCTTGATGGCTGAAATGAATGGCATTTCTCAAAAAGGCCAAGGGACTGAATACAGAAATTTAAACAATAATTTTCCGTTAGTGATACGGTTTGGATGTTTTGTCCCCTCCAAATCTCATGTTGAAATGCGACCTCCAGTGTTGGAGGTGGGCCTAGTAATAGGTGTTTGTTTCCCAAGGGTGGATCCCCATGAATGGTTTTGTGCTGTCCTCCTGGTAATGAGTGAGTTCTTGCTCTATGAATTCACGAGAGATCTTGTTGTTTAAAAGAGCCTGGCATCTCCCTTGCTCCCTCTCTCCCCATGTAATATGCCAGCTCCCCCTTTGCCTTAAGCCATGATTGTCAGCTTCCCGGGCCTCAGCAGAAGCTGAGCAGATACTGGTGGCCTGTTTGTACAGCCTGCAAACCATCAGCCCAAATACTCCTCTTTTCTTTATAAATTACCCAGTCTCAGGTATTCCTTTATAGCATTGAGATGGACTAACATAGTCAGTTTTGACAACATGAACCTTTCATATTAAAATTTAATTTCTAAATTCACTCATTTACTGTGATTGGTTTATAGCTTTTCTGTAATAATGAATTTTACGTGTGACTTTCAATGTGCTTTAAAACTTGATTCACTTTTTAGCTCTATTTTTGGAAACTACCAGCTTCCACTGTTGAGGCAAAAGTGTCATCATTGAGGCTCTCCTGCTGAGGTAGCTGTTGTCTGATTTCCCTTCAGTTCTACTGCTGTCCCAGTGGAAAAAGGGAATCTTCACCACTTACATGACATGTTTGCCTGAACTCTAATCTTCCACACTTGCTGTAGAAAAGAGTAAAGTGGCAGTTCAGGGCAGTTTACCAATTTAGAAACGGTGTCCGCTCAGTATTTTCCTCTGTGTCACTTACTAAAACATATAAAGAAACCATGGACATTAAAAGAAAGAGAGAGGTTTAATGTGATATTTTAATTCTAACAAGGATTTATGGGCACGTGAATGCTCAAAATCACATACTCCCTTAGTGTTTTTCATCTCACACATATCACATCAGACACATATCACACACATCAGGCACATATCACACAGAACTTGCCATAATTAAATTATCAGTTTTTGAAAAATATTATCATTTGCTCTCTTTTTTTCTATATAAATAAATTTTTTTAAAATATGATTTTCAGTTCTGGGATACATGCAAGGAACATGCAGGTTTGTTATATAGGTATACATGTGCCATATAGGTGGTTTCTTATTTGTGCTTTCATCTTATGGCTTTGGCTAGAACTAGATAATAAAAGTATGCATCAATTTAAGAGTTATTTTTAATCATGGTAAGGACATATCTATAACTACTTTGTTAAATTTCATCAGTCATGCATGTTAAATATCATTAAATAAATATCAAAAATGGGCTGCTGTACCAGAATACCATAGACTTGGTGGCTTATAAACAACAGAAAGGAATTTCTCACAGTTCTGGGGTCTGGGAAATCTAAGACCAAGGTACTAGCCAATCTGGTGTCTGGGAAAAACTTTTGTTCTAGTTCAAAGAAGGCTGCCCTTTCTCTATAACCTCAGTTGGGGAAGGAGCAAGGGAGTTCAGGGGGCTGCTTTAGAAGGGTGCTAAACCCATTAATGAGGGCTGCTCTCTCATGACTTAATTAGTTCCCAAAAGCCCCACCTTCAAAAACCCTCACATTGGCGGTTAGCATTTCAACATATGAATTTGAGAGGGATGTAAACATTTAGTCTGTAGCAGTAAATGTACAATATAAAGTAAATAGCTTTATTGTTGTGTTGCATTATATTAATATATATTTTCTAGTATTAAATCTTTGTATGCCAAATCACTGGGGTGGGTGATTTCTTAGTAAGTGTAGAATTCAGTTCCTTTTTCTTTCAGTTAAGAATATTTTAACTATGTTTATAAGGGATACTGTTTAGTAATTTTATTCTTTTTGTATTCACTTCATCAAGAGTTAGTAATAGTTATATTTGCTTTGTAAAATGAACTGAAAGGAAGCCACTTTTTATAACTTTATCCATATTTCCTAGTTTGGGGTCCATTTTACAAGATGTTTTAAACAGATGCTTATTAAAAACACCGGTTATAGGGACTTTAATAAAAATTTTTAAAATAATGTTTTACATTTCTTGCAAAAATTGATGCCTGCAACCTATTTACTGTTTTTAAAATTAAATTAAGATTCATTTAAGCAGTACATGTTTATTTTAGTGAAACACGTATTTAATTTTCTAAGATAGTATTTTTTGTCTTTAAAACAATTTCTGCATGTTTTGTTTTTTTTTCACTTTAAATTTTATGTTTTCTCAGTTTTTGTTTTATCACATTTGCTATATTTTTCTGTATCATGGGTTATTTGTTAAAGAATGAACTTGTGTATGTTTATAAATTGTTACTGTTTTTGTTTATAATTTATTGCCTTCTAACTTAATATGTAATTAGCATTCCTTTTAATTTTGCTTGTATGCTTTGCTGTACCATTTTGAAATTCTTGAGTTAAATGCTTAACTATTTTTTATCAAGTTTAAATATTAAATTAAATATGTCCCATCAGTTTAGTCATTTTAATATTCTCACTCATCAGACATTTTTTGGGAACACCATATGCCTTTTCATGCAGTCAGTTTCAAGAAAATGAAAATTACTTTTTATATGTTTATACTCAAAGCTTGGCTAGAGATAAGTCTCCCCTTCCTTAAGTTGGGGAGAGAGTGATTTCTTCCAGGCTATAATCAAAAGAGATACAATTATAGTAACTTTTTGTGTTTGTTTGGGTTGTTTCTGTTTGTTTGTTTGTTTGTTTGTTTGAGACGGAGGTTGGATCTTGTTGCCCAGGCTGGAGTGTAGTGGCATAATCTCAGCTCACTGCAACCTCCGCCTCCTGGGTTCAAGCAATTCTAAACATATTTTAGCACAAAACTATTTAAGATTTCAATTTATATCTTTTTATTATCTTCCATATACTCTTTTGATACATTACCCATTATGTTGATTATTAACGTACACTCAAGTCAAGATCTTTTATTATGTGAGGTCATCAGTCAATGATAACAGATATTGATGAATTAGTCTCCTCATCAGAAATTGAGCAACATTTTCATTCAAGACGACACATGGGCCTTTAAAGCATATTCAATAATACTGAGTCTCAGTGTTCTCCTGCTATTTTCTGAATGTGCATTTAGACCTTTATACATCTATCTATCTACTGACCCATTTATTAAATTTTCAGCATTTACTTTGTACTCCAAGGACCAGAACCATGTTTGTCTTGTTCACTGGTGTACTCCTATTGCAAGGACCTAGAACATAGTAGGAGCTCATTAAACTCTGAGGTTTCAAAATAAGTGAATAGAGGTTGTAGCAGGAAGAAGTCTAAGATAGCCCCTATGACCTTCATTTCCTCATGTTACCCTGTTGATACCTCACACGGCAAAGGAGTCTTGCACATGTCACTAAGGCTAATAATCCGTCAGCCTTAAGACGGGGGGAGTATCTGGGTAAACCTAACCTAATCACACCAAAACTTCACAATCAGGGAGTTTTCTACAACTGAGAGTAGAATGGGAAGTCAGAGAGTTTCAGAGTCCAAGAAGCATTTATAGCACCCTTATTGACTTTGAAGATGCTTTGCTTCTTCTTTTGAGTTCAGTTTGAGATTATCTTTCTAATAATTGATTAGATTTTATTCTTGTAAAAAAAGAGATAATTTAAAGGAATCTATTTTTAAATACTCTGAGGAGGGTGATACTAGGGGTGCTGGTTGTCCTGTTTTAACTTTGTCTTAATTTCTAATGTAATTAAATTTTGAGTAGGTAATGTGACCTGTGTGGTTTTTATTTTAAAAAATATATTGAGGTTTTATATAATCTATTTTTAAAATATTCAATGGAAACTTGAAAACATACTGTTTCACATATTCTCGTATATATATATTAAAAATCTTTTTTTATTTATTTTTTATTTTTATTTTTTTTTGAGACGGAGTCTCGCTCTGTCGCCCAGGCTGGAGTGCAGTGGCGCCATCTGGGCTCACTGCAAGCTCCGCCTCCTGGGTTCACGCCATTCTCCTGCCTCAGCCTCCCGAATAGCTGGGACTGCAGGCACCCACCACCACGCCCAGCTACTTTTTTGTATTTTTAGTGGAGACAGAGTTTCACCGTGTTAGCCAGGATGGTCTCGATTTCCTGACCTCGTGATCCGCCCGCCTCAGCCTCCCAAAGTGCTGGGATTACAGGCGTGAGCCACTTAGCCCGGCCTAATTATTTGTTTTTTAAAAGACGGTACATAGGAAGAAGTAAATCAGGAAAAGTGGATAGTGATTGGTGGCAGTAGAAGTGAGTCAGTGTTACAGTTACTATTGCTGCTTAAGAAACTAACCCAAATGGCCTGGGCGCCGTGGCTCACGCCTGTAATCCCAGCAGTTTGGGAGGCTGAGACGGGCGGATCATGAGTTCAGGAGATCGAGACCATCCTGCCTAATACGGTGAAACTCTGTCTCTACTAAAAATACAAAAGTTAGCCTGGCCTGGTGGTGGTGGGCGCCTTAAGTCCCAGCTACTCGGGAGGCTGAGGCAGGAGAATGGCGTGAACCCGGGAGGCGGAGCTTGCTGTGAGCCGAGATCGCGCCACTGCAGTCCAGCTTGGGCCACAGAGGGAGACTCCGTCTCAAAAAAAAAAAATTTAAAAAAAGAAAAAGAAAAAAGAAACTACCCTAAATTTAATAAGGTAAAACAACGACCACTTCATTATATCTCATGGATCCTATAGGTGAGAAATTCCAGCAGGATTCATCTGAGTGATTCTTCCTCTCTCACATCATTAACTAGGGTGACTCAGTGCTAGTCGGCTGGCAAACAAGTCAGTCTGGAAGGTGCAAGGTGCTTTTTTTCTGTCTTATAAATTGGTGGAGTTGTCTGGAAGGCAAGGCTCAGATGGGAAGGACTCTTAGTTATAGTGCCTGCACAGGGTAAACTTTTTTTTTTTCTTTTTTTTTTGAGACGGAGTCTCACTGTCCCCCAGGCTGGAGTGGTGTGGCCCGATCTCGGCTAACTGCAAGCTCCGCCTCCCGGGTTCACGCCATTCTCCTGCCTCAGCCTCCCGAGTAGCTGGGACTACAGGCGCCCACCACCAGGCCCAGCTATTTTTTTGTATTTTTAGTAGAGACGGGGTTTCACCGTGTTAGCCAGGATGGTCTCGATCTCCTGACCTCGTGATCCACCCGCCTCGGCCTCCCAAAGTGCTGGGATTACAGGCGTGAGCCACAGCTCCCGGCCAAGAAGGCTCTCTTAAAAGGAATCACTTCTTGTTTTCTTACAAGTTATAACCTCACTACCCTAGAGTCACATTTTTTAATAACTTACGAATTTTCTGAATCTTCAAATACCCTATGGCCCCATGGTAAAACATCAGATGACATTTGCCTCTCATTTAAACCATTTTTCTTTTCCTCTTTCTTCTTTATTTTTCTTATACTCTCTCCTCATTTCTTTTTCTCTCTTCCTATTTCTCTTTTTCTCTCTGCTTCTTCCTACCTTCCCTCGTGACTTTGTCTCCTCATCCCATCACCGTGCTACTTAGATGCCACATCAATTTGACTAGCCTCAAATTTACAATGAATACTTTTTAAATTCATGCTTCTGAAACTTTTAAAGGATGAAGAGGTATAAATGTCTCAAATAATAATTTGCTTGATGGCTGAAATGAATGGCATTTCTCAAAAAGGCCAAGGGACTGAATACAGAAATTTAAACAATAATTTTCCGTTAGTGATACGGTTTGGATGTTTTGTCCCCTCCAAATCTCATGTTGAAATGCGACCTCCAGTGTTGGAGGTGGGCCTAGTAATAGGTGTTTGTTTCCCAAGGGTGGATCCCCATGAATGGTTTTGTGCTGTCCTCCTGGTAATGAGTGAGTTCTTGCTCTATGAATTCACGAGAGATCTTGTTGTTTAAAAGAGCCTGGCATCTCCCTTGCTCCCTCTCTCCCCATGTAATATGCCAGCTCCCCCTTTGCCTTAAGCCATGATTGTCAGCTTCCCGGGCCTCAGCAGAAGCTGAGCAGATACTGGTGGCCTGTTTGTACAGCCTGCAAACCATCAGCCCAAATACTCCTCTTTTCTTTATAAATTACCCAGTCTCAGGTATTCCTTTATAGCATTGAGATGGACTAACATAGTCAGTTTTGACAACATGAACCTTTCATATTAAAATTTAATTTCTAAATTCACTCATTTACTGTGATTGGTTTATAGCTTTTCTGTAATAATGAATTTTACGTGTGACTTTCAATGTGCTTTAAAACTTGATTCACTTTTTAGCTCTATTTTTGGAAACTACCAGCTTCCACTGTTGAGGCAAAAGTGTCATCATTGAGGCTCTCCTGCTGAGGTAGCTGTTGTCTGATTTCCCTTCAGTTCTACTGCTGTCCCAGTGGAAAAAGGGAATCTTCACCACTTACATGACATGTTTGCCTGAACTCTAATCTTCCACACTTGCTGTAGAAAAGAGTAAAGTGGCAGTTCAGGGCAGTTTACCAATTTAGAAACGGTGTCCGCTCAGTATTTTCCTCTGTGTCACTTACTAAAACATATAAAGAAACCATGGACATTAAAAGAAAGAGAGAGGTTTAATGTGATATTTTAATTCTAACAAGGATTTATGGGCACGTGAATGCTCAAAATCACATACTCCCTTAGTGTTTTTCATCTCACACATATCACATCAGACACATATCACACACATCAGGCACATATCACACAGAACTTGCCATAATTAAATTATCAGTTTTTGAAAAATATTATCATTTGCTCTCTTTTTTTCTATATAAATAAATTTTTTTAAAATATGATTTTCAGTTCTGGGATACATGCAAGGAACATGCAGGTTTGTTATATAGGTATACATGTGCCATATAGGTGGTTTCTTATTTGTGCTTTCATCTTATGGCTTTGGCTAGAACTAGATAATAAAAGTATGCATCAATTTAAGAGTTATTTTTAATCATGGTAAGGACATATCTATAACTACTTTGTTAAATTTCATCAGTCATGCATGTTAAATATCATTAAATAAATATCAAAAATGGGCTGCTGTACCAGAATACCATAGACTTGGTGGCTTATAAACAACAGAAAGGAATTTCTCACAGTTCTGGGGTCTGGGAAATCTAAGACCAAGGTACTAGCCAATCTGGTGTCTGGGAAAAACTTTTGTTCTAGTTCAAAGAAGGCTGCCCTTTCTCTATAACCTCAGTTGGGGAAGGAGCAAGGGAGTTCAGGGGGCTGCTTTAGAAGGGTGCTAAACCCATTAATGAGGGCTGCTCTCTCATGACTTAATTAGTTCCCAAAAGCCCCACCTTCAAAAACCCTCACATTGGCGGTTAGCATTTCAACATATGAATTTGAGAGGGATGTAAACATTTAGTCTGTAGCAGTAAATGTACAATATAAAGTAAATAGCTTTATTGTTGTGTTGCATTATATTAATATATATTTTCTAGTATTAAATCTTTGTATGCCAAATCACTGGGGTGGGTGATTTCTTAGTAAGTGTAGAATTCAGTTCCTTTTTCTTTCAGTTAAGAATATTTTAACTATGTTTATAAGGGATACTGTTTAGTAATTTTATTCTTTTTGTATTCACTTCATCAAGAGTTAGTAATAGTTATATTTGCTTTGTAAAATGAACTGAAAGGAAGCCACTTTTTATAACTTTATCCATATTTCCTAGTTTGGGGTCCATTTTACAAGATGTTTTAAACAGATGCTTATTAAAAACACTGGTTATAGGGACTTTAATAAAAATTTTTAAAATAATGTTTTACATTTCTTGCAAAAATTGATGCCTGCAACCTATTTACTGTTTTTAAAATTAAATTAAGATTCATTTAAGCAGTACATGTTTATTTTAGTGAAACACGTATTTAATTTTCTAAGATAGTATTTTTTGTCTTTAAAACAATTTCTGCATGTTTTGTTTTTTTTTCACTTTAAATTTTATGTTTTCTCAGTTTTTGTTTTATCACATTTGCTATATTTTTCTGTATCATGGGTTATTTGTTAAAGAATGAACTTGTGTATGTTTATAAATTGTTACTGTTTTTGTTTATAATTTATTGCCTTCTAACTTAATATGTAATTAGCATTCCTTTTAATTTTGCTTGTATGCTTTGCTGTACCATTTTGAAATTCTTGAGTAATGCTTAACTAGTTTTTATCAGTTTAAATATTAAATTAAATATGTCCCATCAGTTTAGTCATTTTAATATCTCACTCTCAGACATTTTTTGGGAACACCATATGCCTTTTCATGCAGTCAGTTTCAAGAAAATGAAAATTACTTTTTATATGTTTATACTCAAAGCTTGGCTAGAGATAAGTCTCCCCTTCCTTAAGTTGGGGAGAAAGTGATTTCTTCCAGGCTATAGTCAAAAGAGATACAATTATAGTAACTTTTTGTGTTTGTTTGGGTTGTTTCTGTTTGTTTGTTTGTTTGTTTGTTTGAGACGGAGGTTGGATCTTGTTGCCCAGGCTGGAGTGTAGTGGCATAATCTCAGCTCACTGCAACCTCCGCCTCCTGGGTTCAAGCAATTCTAAACATATTTTAGCACAAAACTGTTTAAGATTTCAATTTATATCTTTTTATTATGTTCCATATACTCTTTTGATACATTACCCATTATGTTGATTATTAACGTACACTCAAGTCAAGATCTTTTATTATGTGAGGTCATCAGTCAATGATAACAGATATTGATGAATTAGTCTCCTCATCAGAAATTGAGCAACATTTTCATTCAAGACGACACATGGGCCTTTAAAGCATATTCAATAATACTGAGTCTCAGTCTTCTCCTGCTATTTTCTGAATGTGCATTTAGACCTTTATACATCTATCTATCTACTGACCCATTTATTAAATTTTCAGCATTTACTTTGTACTCCAAGGACCAGAACCATGTTTGTCTTGTTCACTGCTGTACTCCTATTGCAAGGACCTAGAACATAGTAGGAGCTCATTAAACCCTGAGGATTCAAAATAAGTGAATAGAGGTTGTAGCAGGAAGAAGTCTAAGATAGCCCCTATGACCTTCATTACCTCATGTTACCCTGTTGATACCTCACACGGCAAAGGAGTCTTGCACATGTCACTAAGGCTAATAATCCGTCAGTCTTAAGACGGGGGGAGTATCTGGGTAAACCTAACCTAATCACACCAAAACTTCACAATCAGGGAGTTTTCTACAACTGAGAGTAGAATGGGAAGTCAGAGAGTTTCAGAGTCCAAGAAGCATTTATAGCACCCTTATTGACTTTGAAGATGCTTTGCTTCTTCTTTTGAGTTCAGTTTGAGATTATCTTTCTAATAATTGATTAGATTTTATTCTTGTAAAAAAAGAGATAATTTAAAGGAATCTATTTTTAAATACTCTGAGGAGGGTGATACTAGGGGTGCTGGTTGTCCTGTTTTAACTTTGTCTTAATTTCTAATGTAATTAAATTTTGAGTAGGTAATGTGACCTGTGTGGTTTTTATTTTAAAAAATATATTGAGGTTTTATATAATCTATTTTTAAAATTTTCAATGGAAACTTGAAAAAATACTGTTTCACATATTCTCGTATATATATATTAAAAATCTTTTTTTATTTATTTTTTATTTTTATTTTTTTTTGAGACGGAGTCTCGCTCTGTCGCCCAGGCTGGAGTGCAGTGGCGCCATCTGGGCTCACTGCAAGCTCCGCCTCCTGGGTTCACGCCATTCTCCTGCCTCAGCCTCCCGAGTAGCTGGGACTGCAGGCACCCACCACCACGCCCAGCTACTTTTTTGTATTTTTAGTGGAGACAGAGTTTCACCGTGTTAGCCAGGATGGTCTCGATTTCCTGACCTCGTGATCCGCCCGCCTCAGCCTCCCAAAGTGCTGGGATTACAGGCGTGAGCCACTTAGCCCGGCCTAATTATTTGTTTTTTAAAAGACGGTACATAGGAAGAAGTAAATCAGGAAAAGTGGATAGTGATTTGTGGCAGTAGAAGTGAGTCAGTGTTACAGTTACTATTGCTGCTTAAGAAACTTCCCCAAATGGCCTGGGCGCCGTGGCTCACGCCTGTAATCCCAGCAGTTTGGGAGGCTGAGACGGGCGGATCATGAGTTCAGGAGATCGAGACCATCCTGCCTAATACGGTGAAACTCTGTCTCTACTAAAAATACAAAAGTTAGCCTGGCCTGGTGGTGGTGGGCGCCTTAAGTCCCAGCTACTCGGGAGGCTGAGGCAGGAGAATGGCGTGAACCCGGGAGGCGGAGCTTGCTGTGAGCCGAGATCGCGCCACTGCAGTCCAGCCTGGGCGACAGAGGGAGACTCCGTCTCAAAAAAAAAAAAATTTAAAAAAAGAAAAAGAAAAAAGAAACTACCCTAAATTTAATAAGGTAAAACAACGACCACTTCATTATATCTCATGGATCCTATAGGTGAGAAATTCCAGCAGGATTCATCTGAGTGATTCTTCCTCTCTCACATCATTAACTAGGGTGACTCAGTGCTAGTCGGCTGGCAAACAAGTCAGTCTGGAAGGTGCAAGGTGCTTTTTTTCTGTCTTATAAATTGATGGAGTTGTCTGGAAGGCAAGGCTCAGATGGGAAGGACTCTTAGTTATAGTGCCTGCACAGGGTAAACTTTTTTTTTTTTCTTTTTTTTTTGAGACGGAGTCTCACTGTCCCCCAGGCTGGAGTGGTGTGACCCGATCTCGGCTAACTGCAAACTCCGCCTCCCGGGTTCACGCCATTCTCCTGCCTCAGCCTCCCGAGTAGCTGGGACTACAGGCGCCCACCACCAGGCCCGGCTAATTTTTTGTATTTTTAGTAGAGACGGGGTTTCACCGTGTTAGCCAGGATGGTCTCGATCTCCTGACCTCGTGATCCACCCGCCTTGGCCTCCCAAAGTGCTGGGATTACAGGCCTGAGCCACCGCGCCCGGCCTGCACAGGGTAAACTTCTTATATGGCTGCTGGCTTTCCGCAGATCAAACACTCCAAGGGAACCAGGTGGAAAATGCCTGGTCTCTTTTTATCTCACTTTAAAGGTCAGGTAGAATTATTTGTCATACTCTATTGATTGTAGCAGTCACAAGCACGTCCAGATTTAGGGAAGGGAGACATAGACCTATTTTTTGATGAGAAGAATATCAACCTGTTTTTGGACTATGTTTAAAACTGCCACACATGACAATTACACACCAGGTAGAAGGCATTTGGGGACAGACTTGAAGGAAATGAGGAGGAATCGTGCTCTGCTGAAACAAGAGCATTCCAAAGAGAGACCACAGCTTGGGCAAAAGCCCTGAGTCGGAATCATGTGGACTTATTCTTAGAACAGCATCGAGGAAGCCATTATAGCTGGAGTAGAATGAGAAGGGGGAAGAGTATTAGTAGATGGTGGCAGAGAAATAAACATGAGAAGACGGATGATGGAACGAGCACCTTGTACGTCATTTTAAGGACTTTGGCTGTTCCTCAAACTGACATGGGACCATTGAAAGATTTTTTTATTTTTTATTTTTTAAATTTAACTTTTAAGTTCAGTGGTACACGTGCAGGTTTGTTATGTAGGTAAACTTGTGTCATGGGGGTTTGTTGTACGGATTATTCTGTTACCCACATGGTAAACCTGCTACCCACTAGTTGTTTTTCCTGATCCTCTCCCTCCTCCCAGCTTTCACCCTCCTTTTCAAAATAAGACATACGTGCAGCCAACAAACGTAGAAAAAAAGCTCAGCATCACTGATCATTAAAGAAATGCACATCAGAAGTACAATGAGATACTATCTCACACCATTCAGAATGGTTATTATTAAAAAGCTAAAAAATAACATGCTGGCAATATTGTGGAGAAAAGGCAACATTTCTACACTGTTGGTGGGAGTGTAAATTAGTTCAGCCATTGTGGAAGACAGTGTGGTGATTCCTCAAACACCTAAAAGAACTACCATTCGACCCGGCAATCCTATTACTGGGTATACACCCAAAGGAATATAAATTGTTCTGTCATAAAGACACATGCATGCATATGTTTATTGCAGCGCTATTCACAGTAGCAAAGGCATGGAATCAACATAAATGCCCATCAATGGTAGACTGGATAAAGAAAATGTGGTATATATACACCATGGCATATTATGCCACCATAAAAGATGAGATCACACCCTTTGTAGGAACATGGATGGAGCTGGAAGCCATTATCCTTAGCCAACTAATGCAGGAACAGAAAACCAAATGTTCCCACTTAGAAGCGAGAGTCAAAGGGGAGAATACATGAACACGTAGAGGGGAACAACATTGAAAGATATAAGCAAAGAAGTGATATCATCTGAATTGCATTTCTGAGATTTCTCTGGCACTTGTGTAAAAAATAGCTGAAAGGAATCAACGGCAGAAGCTGGGAGACCAGTTAGGGAGCTTTTGCAATAACCATAAGAGGAAATATGTGTGGCTTAGACTAGGAATCGTCAGGTTGGGAGTGCTCATATTCAAATGTGGTCAGAATCCGGACATTTTGAGTGAGCCTACAGAAAGCTTTAATACTGTCTCAAACTAAAGGATATAGAAGGTTTTCCCTTTCTCTTGCCCTGAAACCTTCTGTATCCTTTATTTTGAGATAGTATTAGAATTCTTACTATCTTACTGACAATTCTCACTATCTTGTTTTATAACTTGGAACATGATTATAATTATAGTATTGTTAAATATTTTATTTTTATTTTATAATTATACTTTAAAAATATTATTTTGGTAAATAATCATAAAATATGAAAAATAAATCTTTCCATTAACTGAATCAATTGTCCCCTTGCAGGATTTTGGCTTCACAACTTCCTAATCCTTGAAATATTAATTTTGATTATTTTTCTAATATGTACCCATATGTCTTTGAGTAAATTTTTATTGGAAGGACAAATCAGTGCTGGATATACAGATGCCATTGCTTCGTACTCAGGTAAAGACAACCTGATATTTATGATCCTCTTGATCATATTTTTATTCTCTTAAAATCTTTATGTCTTCTAATAATGTTAACAGAGAAGAAAAAAAGTCTTATCTAAGCCTGACTTTTTATTTTTAAGGAAGTTTTTTTCTTTATTTGTAAAATTCAGGAGTTTGGCTAGTTGTTATTTAAATATGGAGAACTCTTCCTTGTTTCTTCCCCCTCCCTGCCTAGAAACTGGTTGGTGCTTTTATTATTCGTACTTCAGTGATAGCTTTGATTATTGTTTCAGATCTCCTTGCCCTTGTGTCTTTCCCCAGTACACAAACTATTCTCGAGGTGGAACCTGTGGTCTCTGGCATACCCATCCGCCTTCTTCTCTGTCATTAGTTCATCTCTTCCTTTGCCCTCCAGAGCTCTGATTCAATTGCTGCTTGAACTTTTCAGTGTGTCAGTTTCTTTCTCCACGGATTTCCCTGTGGATGGAAAATCTGCCCTTGCACTTTAGTTTTCATAGAAGCCTCATCTCAGCTATCTCCCATTTTGTGATATGAGCCTCTTTTGTTATTGTAGCCTTCATCTCCTATTTCCTAAATTCCATGTGTTTCTACATACTGTTCATAGACAAATAGTTTAAAGCAATGTTCTATAGTTTCTTGTGGTTTGAAAGTCATATATTTTTAAATACGTTTTCTCCCCCTGAGAATTCAGCATACAGTTTCATTTTTCTTGTACGCAGGATGATTTTTAGGATTTTTTTTCTGTTATATTTTTTCCATTCTGGTTACCTAGAAGGTAGTGATTATTACCCCAAACCAGGGTTTGATACTGTGTTAGTCCACTTTCATACTGCTATGAAGAAATACCTGAGACTGGGTAATTTATAAAGAAAAAAAGGTTTAATGGACTCAGTTCCACGTGGCTGGGGAAGCCTCACAATCATGGCAGAAGGCAAAGGAGGAGCAAAGACATGTCTTACATGGTGGCAGGCAAGAGAGAGAGCATGTGCAGGGGAACTCCCCTTTATAAAACCATCAGATCTTGTGAGACTTATTCGGTTTCACAAGAACAACACAGGGAGAAACCCATCCCCATGATTCAATTACCTCCCACTGGGTCCCTTTCATGACATATGGGGATTATGGGAGCTATAATTCAAGATGAGATTTGGGTAGGGACATAGCCAAACCATATCATTCTTCCCCTGGCGCCTCCTGAATCTCATGTTCTCACATTTCAAAATCAATCATGCCTTCCCAACAGTCCCCCAAAGTTTTAACTCGTTTCAACATTAACTGAAAAGTCCACAGTCCAAGGTCTCATCTGAGACAAGTCCCTTCCACCTATGAGCCTGTAAAACTAAAAGCAAGTTAGTTACTTCCTACATACAATGGGGGTACAGGCATTGGGTACCCCCCAATGTATTTACACCTGTTCCAAATGGGAGACATTGGTCAAAACAAAGGGGCTACAGGCTCCATGCAAGTCTGAAATCCAATAGGGCAGTCATTAAACGTTAAAGTTCCAAAATGATCTCCTTTGACTCCGTGTCTCACATGCAGGTCACACTGACGCAAGTGGTGGTCTCCCATGGCCTTGGGCAGCTCTGCCTCTGTGGCTTTGCAGGGTACAGCCTCCCTCCTGGCTGCTTTCACTGGCTGGCATTGTCTGTGGCTTTTCCAGGTACACAGTGTAAACTGTTTGTGGATCTACCAATTGGGGGTTTGGAGGGCAGCGGCCCTCTTCTCATAGCTCCACTAGGCATTGCCCCAGTAGGGACTCTGTATGGGAGACAGAGCCCACATTTCAATTCTCTACTACCCTGGAAGAGGTTCTTCATGAGCCCCTGCTCCTGCCCCCGCACCCCACCAGAGCAAACTTCTGCCTGAACATCCAAGTGTTTCCATACATTCTCTGAAATCTAGGTGGAGGGTCCCAAACCTCAATTCTTGACTTCTGTGCGCCTGCAGGCTCAACATCTTGTGGAAGCTGCCAAGGCTTGGGGCTGCAACCTCCGAAGACGTGGCCTGAGCTGTAGCCTGGTGTCTCCCACCCCAGCCATGGCTGGAGTGGCTGGAATGCCGGGCACCAAGTCTCTAGGCTGCACACAGCAGGGGGACCTGGACCTGCTCCAGGAAATCATTTTTCCATACTAGGCTTTTGAGCCTGTGATGGAAAGAGCTGCCGTGAAGGTGTTAAGGTCTTTAATGTTCTGGAGACATTTTCCCCATTGTCTTGGTGATTACATTTGGCTCCTTGTTACTTATGCAAATTTCTGCAGGAGGCTTTAATGAAAGTCGGTTTTTCTTTTCTTTTCTTTTTTTTTTTTTTTTTGGATTGGGAGTCTCACTCTCTTGCCCAGGCTGGAGTGCAGTGCCGCAATCTGGGCTCACTGCAAGCTCCGCCTCCCAGGTTCACGCCATTCCTCAGCCTCCCAAGTAGCTGGGACTACAGGTGCCCGCCACCACGCCTGGCTAATTTTTTTGTATTTTTTTAGTAGAGACACGGTTTCACCGTGTTAGCCAGGATGGTCTGGATTTGCTGACCTCGTGATCCGCCCGCCTCAGCCTCTCAACATGCTGGGACTACAGGCGTGAGCCCCCGCGCCCGGCCAAAAAATCTTATACATTATAATGCTCAAATTTTATCCTTTAATAAGTCATAACGGAGAAACATGCTAATGATTTCACAATTAAATGTGACGTTCATTTAGTGTTTTGCTTTGTAATATTAAATATTTTATTGTTTTCCATGTGATACCTTTTCCTTTAAAATTCTACTTAATCTACTTAAATCTACTTAAATCGATGATGTTATAAATAGTCTTTGATTTTTACTTTATTAATCTTTGTACATTTTAATATCGTTAAACTTACAGGAACAGTTTGTACACTTCATGGAAATAGAGTAGAGTAATAGAGTTTGATTATTTGTTTTGTTTTCAGCTGAGGGTTTTTTTTTTTTGGTAATTTCAGTCTTAGAGTCTTTCTTTTCAGCAGTTAGTGGTATAATTCATATTTGTTTCTCATAGCTGATTTTTTGTTTTAACTTTTGTGAACTTGCTTATAGTTTCTTTACAACTATTAGGCTGGTGCAAAAGTTATTGAAGTTTTCACTAATTATTATTATTATTATTATTTTGAGGCGGACTCTCCCTCTGTCGCCCAGGCTGGAGTGCAGTGGCGCGATCTCAGCTCACTGCAAGCTCCGCCTCCCGGGTTCACGCCATTTTCTTGCCTCAGCCTCCCGAGTAGCTGGGACTGCAGGCCCCGGTCACCACGCCTGGCTAATTTTTTGTATTTTTAGCGGAGATGGGGTTTCACCATATTAGCTAGGATGGTCTCGATCTCCTGACCTCGTGATCCGCCCACCTCAGCCTCCCAAAGTGCTGGGATTACAGGCGTGAGCCACTGCACCCGGCCTAATTATTTGTTTTTTAAAAGATGGTACATACGAGGAAGTAAATCAGGAAAGGAGGATAGTGATTGGTGGCAGTAGAAGTGAGTCAGTGTTACAGTTACTATTGCTGCTTAAGAAACTACCCCAAATGGCCCGGGCGCCGTGGCTCACGCCTGTAATCCCAGCACTTTGGGAGGCTGAGACGGGCGGATCACGAGGTCAGGAGATCGAGACCATCCTGGCTAACACGGTGAAACCCCGTCTCTACTAAAAATACAAAAAATTAGCCGGGCCTGGTGGTGGGCGCCTGTAGTCCCAGCTACTTGGGAGGCTGAGGCAGGAGAATGGCGTGAACCCGGGAGGCGGAGCTTGCAGTGAGCCGAGATCGGGCCACACCACTCCAGCTTGGGCCACAGAGCGAGACTCCGTCTCAAAAAAAAAAAAGAAAAAAGAAAAGAAAAAAGAAACTACCCCAAATTTAATAAGGTAAAACAACGACCACTTCATTGTATCTCATGGATCCTATAGGTGAGAAATTCCAGCAGGATTCGTCTGAGTGATTCTTCCTCTCTCATATCATTAACTAGGGTGACTCAGTGCTATGCGGCTGGCAAACAAGTCAGTCTGGAAGGTGCAAGGTGCTTTTTTTCTGTCTTATGTATTGGTGGGGTTGTCTGGAAGGCAAGGCTCAGATGGGAGGGACTCGTAGTTATAGTGCCTGCATAGGGTGAACTTCTTTTTTTTTTTTTTTTAGACGGAGTCTCACTGTCCCCCAGGCTGGAGTGGTGTGGCCCGATCTCGGCTCACTGCAAGCTCCGCCTCCCGGGTTCACGCCATTCTCCTGCCTCAGCCTCCCAAGTAGCTGGGACTATAGGCGCCCACCACCAGGCCCGGCTAATTTTTTGTATTTTTAGTAGAGACGGGGTTTCACCGTGTTAGCCAGGATGGTCTCGATCTCCTGACCTTGTGATCCGCCCTCCTCGGCCTCCCAAAGTGCTGGGATTACAGGCCTGAGCCACCGCGCCCGGCCTGTGCTCACCCATATTTCTGTTTGCTGTGTGGTGCAGTGCGACCACACGGTTCTTCAGACACAACCTCTGCTTTCTCATTTACCTCAACACTTTAACCCTTAGATTCTTTTTTACTATACTTCAGTGTATTTCCCAGGCATATATTGTCTATGAGGGATAAAATAAAATATCAATTAAAAACAAAAAAATTCAGAGAAATATTAACCATTCACTCTTCTAAGTTCTCAAAGGTTACATTCTTCACCAAATCATATAACCAGGTCCCAATAAAATACCATCATGCAGGGAATTTAACATCATGTAGTTTAAAATACCATCATGCGGGCAGCTTTCAACTAAGCATCCTGTAAGAAAAGATCATTTGTTCTTACATCTTTAAAAGTTTGGAAATTGCTATGGAAGATTATTTTTATTATATTGTCCATTGTCTGTTGCTTGAAGACATATATTTTGCTTGAGTTTAGAGTTACCAAAAAATAGTTGCTGATATATCCAGATACTATTTTATTAACTAACAATACCTATTTGAATTCTGGTTTTCCTTTTGGCCTTTAAGAACAAGGGGCTTAGGACTAAATTTTAGGCTGAAGGGTAGTGTTTCCTTCCCTAGGTTGTCCCATGTAATTGTCACCTCTTTCTCTTCATTATTCTGTCATTTTGCCCTTGTTTTATAGTGTCTGTGCCTTTCATTCTAAGCTGTCTCAGGGGCTTTTCTGGAAATACACAGTGTATAAGTACAAAATGATGAAATAAACATGCTTCTTTTTTTTTTTTTTTTTAAGACGGAGTCTCACTCTATTGCCCAGACTGGAGTGCAGTGGCACGATCTCGGCTCACTGCAAGCTCTGCCTCCTGGGTTCACTCCATTCTCTGGCCTCAGCCTCGCGAGTAGCTGGGACTACAGGCACCTGCCACCATGTCCGGCTAATTTTTTGTATTTTTAGTAGAGACGGGGTTTCACCATGTTAGGCAGGATGGTCTCGATCTCCTGACCTTGTGATCTGCCCGCCTTGGCCTCCCAAAGTGCTGGGATTACAGGCGTGAGCCACTGCATCAGGCCAACACACTTCTTTATTTTGTTTTCAAAGATGCTTGGGTGGGACTAGATGACCTCTAAGGTCCTTTCCAGCTCTAAATTTACGTTACTTTCACCAAAGACAGACAAAAAAAAAAATCTGTTAGGTTATAGGTCTAGAGATGAGTGCCAAGTACTATATTCCTGCTCTAGGTGCATTTCTTGTTGAAGGCAGTGCTAGATTCAGTGACCTGTTACGGCCGTTTACAGTCTTATGGTGATAAAACAAGAGAACTGATTGCTAAAAAAAAAAAAAAAATTCAGTTGAAATATCTTTTTACTCTTAAGCATCAACAAAAAATAAATAGAAAACAGAAGAGTTGAATTATTTAGTTTGAGCTATTTGTAATAAATTTGGACAACTAAGCTAAGCCCGAGTGTAGTTAATTCAATGAAATTAGTCATATTTGAATATTGTCACAACCTTACTACCACATTAGCATTAAGTGTGATTAAAATTTATTCTTTGTTTCTGTGTGAGTCTCCACAGAATCAGCTATCAACACCTTCATAATAAACTAGCCCTTCATTGCTTTCAGGAAACTTTTAGATTCAGAGCAGGTGGTTGGGCTTCTGCTTTAAAAGAGAACACATCATTTTTAAAGTCCCTTTCCTGTTTGTGTGTGTGAATTTAGAACACAGAAATTATCCATTGCATTGTTTATTTTTGCTAGGAGGTAGAAGTTCTTAAAAATATAGGAAATACTAGATATCATGTACTGATAATTTCCAAAGCTAATTATTTTTCTTAAGTCCAAGCTATAATTTAAGAGGTGTACTTGTGAAATATGAATATTGTTTTAGATTAATAAAATGTTTCTCATGGAAAAATAGAATATGATTTTGTCGAAGTTCAAGGGAATATCCATTTTCATTCAGGTAGCTTCCAGATTTTTGTCTTTACATGTTCTGTGCAGTGATTTAAATACCGTACCTCCAAAATTTATGTCCATTAGGAACTTTAGAATGTGATTTTATTTGGAAGTAGGGTCTTTGCAGATATAATTAACCCAGTGATTGAGATGAGGTCATCCTGGGTGAAGGTGGGCCCTAAATCCAGTGTAAATGTCCTTATAACATACAGGAAAAGACACACACAAGGTCATGTGAAGATGGAGACAGAAATTGGAGTTATGCAGTCATAAATCAAAGAAAGCCAAGGATTGCCAGGAGCCACTGGAAACCAGGAAGAAGCGAGGGAGAATTCTTCCCTAGGGTCTTCAGGGGGAGTGTGGCCCCGCCAACATCTTGATTTCAGAGGTCCAGGCTTCAGAACTATGAGAGAATATATTTCTGTCCTCTTAACCCACCAAGTGTGTGATAATTAGGTATGATGGCCCTAGGCAACTACTACACTCTAATTCAGAAGTTCTTCTGGATTTTATTGTATCATGTGTTGGTAGGAAGTACCTGGCTGTTTCATTTGCATGATATGTGGGTAATCTTAGAATTATCATATCTTGCAAGTAATTTTAAAGTATGTTGTAATGTAGTCAGAAGCTTTTTAAATATGAAATTTAATTCATGCTGGTGTCAATTACATTTGAAAAAATACAAAAAAGCTATATAAGATTCTAGGATCTTTCAGAATTTTATAATGTTTATAATGGACAGTTGGTTAAATAAAAATTGTACCCTAAACAATTTTGTTGTTGGCTTAAAATAGCGTTTAATTTATTAGTGCTCAGATAATAGTTATCCCCTAAATAGCATTTTTACTTTCATATGTTGATATCAAACAGTGAAGTGAGACAGCAAATCAGTACAACGTGGTGATTATCAAACATCATAAATCCATGAAGGATAGCCTTGATCTTACTGAGAAGAGTTTAATTTTAAAATGCATACCTGGAAAAGGCAACTTAGATTAACATTTCAAACTCACATAGCATTATTTGTGATTGATTATAGTTATAATTGATCATTTTACTTTTGGACCGTCACTTTGAATCAAATTGGGATAAATATAAATTAAAGATTGATTATTTGCTTTGAATTTTAGATTAAAAAATTCAAAAACCATAAAAACAGAGCTTTGACTATAATAAAGGTATTTATCCTTTCTTGGTAAGAATTGGGGAGGGGTTTAAGAAAAGGCTAAGCAATGTTCTATTTTTTACATAGGGAAAAGTTTATTTGTGCTACTTTTTAATTAGGTAGTTTGTTGTTTTTTAAATGACAGCTTCCTAAACACTACTGATTTTACATGTGCAGTCATTAGCTTTTCATGTGGAAATAGTATCTTTCAAATTCACGCAGCTGCTTATTTTATGAAATGCAATGGGACTACTTACTTGCCACCTGTCTAAACTGGAATGCATAGATTCATGCCTTGCCAAATGAGGAGTTAGGGTGAAAAGTGATTAACATCCATTCTTTAATGAGTTTCTAAGTCTTTCTGAACATGTTTTTATTCTATTTATTGCAGTGGTATAGTAACATTTTCGTGTTGGTTGCTGTACAAAGCATGATAATACCTTTATTAAAGCAATGTTAATGACATCCATAAGATATCATAAAATATTATATTCTTAATAGGAAATTTGTTATATATAAATAACAATAAAGATCGTAATAAGCTCTCCTTAATTCTGTTTATTTTGACTTCATTATTAAGTTTGGAAACATAGGTGTCAAATTTAGACATTATTTATATGTAATTATAAAGCCAAATAAATGTTAGAGATTAACTTAAAAAGAGTTTTGTGGCTTAACAATTGAAGTGAGATAGTGAGATCACAAGGGGCTTAATCATTCTGAATTGATTCTACAGATGTCTCCTTTCTCTAGATGCCCTGTAAGCTTCCTATCTTCCATGAAAGTTTATTCCCATAATCCTGGCACATAAAATTAGTCATATAACTCTTTTCCATTCTGAGATTTCAAGGATTAGGACTTTCAACATAGAGAAAACGTGCTGTGTAGAAGCTGAATGTACAAAAGGCAACACTTGGCAACGGAATCCAGTATTTCCCAAGTATTTGAGGAAACTTACAAAACCCAAATCTCTAGTACTTGCTTTCACATTTGCTATCAGAACCAGGAAGGGAGGCCTAGAAATGGTTTGAATGGAAAATTTGTTGTTGTAGAAGGGGTTCCCATTCACTGGTGAATAGACACAACGTATTTCCCAACCTTCTTTTAATCCAAGATAGCAACATTTTTACTGGAGCCAAAGATAAAACCAGTATTTAATCTCCTAGAAATTAGGAGATGTATGACTCTGGAAATGGAAAGAATTTTCATATCCAGCCACATAACCAAGTCCTGCAAGAACATAATAAACAAACCAATCAAACAACAAGAATAACAACCACAACATGGTCCCCATTCTGTCTTTAACCTCTGATAGAAAGAGCAGTAATGGTAAGACGAGAAAGCTCTCGTCAAGTGTTTTCCTCATCTACTGTTAATGATTTATTCTTACATCCTGTCCCAGTCCAATTATGAAAAAATTCTAAGAGAGATCCCTTTAGCTGACTTGTAATGAATTCCAGGGTCACATTCCAGATATTGTTTTCCCCTGAAATCGTGTAAGTGCACATCAAAATACTATACTTTTGGTGTGAATCTGAGCCAAATTCTATTGTATTCTAAATAAAGTGAAACTCCTATCAGCCAATAGGGCACGGTATCAGTTTCAAATAAGACAAGTTGGTAAAGTCAGGAGAAATGACTTCCTCCTTCCTCCTGATGTGCTGTATATAGATGTATTAGCACTGCCTTTTAATATTTTATGTGTTCAACAGAGAGGGAACTAACATCTTGTTAATCCTCATTTGAAAACAATTTTGCGAATGTAAATGTAGCAGGGCTTTTGCCTTTTTTCCTTCTTCATGAAAAACAAGTAGTGCTTGGGGAGCAAGTGTTCCTGTTCAACTGCTGTCACTCATTCCCAGCTCTGTTTAGAAGAAATAAGCACAGATGGTTGGTCTACTACTTCCCCAACGAAAAATTTGCCTGTTGGCCGGGCGCAGTGGCTCAAGCCTGTAATCCCAGCACTTTGGGAGACGGAGGCGGGCAGATCACAAGGTCAGGAGATGGAGACCATCCTGGCTAACACGGTGAAACCCCGTCTCCACTAAAAATACAAAAAATTAGCTGGGCACGGTGGCGGACGCCTGTAGTCCCAGCTACTTCGAAGGCTGAGGCAGGAGAATGACGGGAACCCGGGAGGCGGAGCTTGCAGTGAGCAGAGATCGCGCCACTGCACTCCAGCCTGGGCGACAGAGCAAGACTCCGCCTCAAAAAAAAAAAAAAATTGCTTACCTTTTTTGTGTTTTATTCCATCCTTCTCATTGTCATGTGAACAGTATTTCAAGGGAAGAAACTTCTGTAGGGATCTTTGAAATGTTTATCCACTGCTTGTGCATGAAAGAGAAAAAGAAGAAATTAATGATTTATTAAAATTTCATGAGGGGAACTCAAAAACGCTTTGTTACAAAAAAATTTAATTTAGAAACCGTGTATTTTGCATGCAAAATTAAAGTCTTCAGGGAAGTAAGTTTTTATATCAGACTTGCATCCTAAAGTACTCATTTAATGATGGCAGAACCACTTCATCCATGTTAAAAATACCTGTGTGGGTCTTTTTTATTTATACTGTGGCTTAATGAAAATTTGTCTATTGTAAATATATTAAGAAAAAGAGCATAAAGACTTTTTAACATAATTTTCTAACGCTGAAAATACATACAAACAGTAAAATACCCAAATCTTAACTGTACAGCTCAATACTTCTTTTGTTTTTAAACAAACTTAGCCCTTCTGTGTATCCAGTACTCAAATCAGGAAATTTTATATTATTACTTCTTCTAGACACTATTTCATAGGATAGCTCTTATGGTGATTTGGAACATAACTGATGAGTTTTACAATTTTTAGTGAATTAGATCGTAGAATATGTTCTGTATCTTGCTTCTTTCATTCAATATTTAGTTTATAAGATTTGTTAATCTTTTTGCATATAGTTGTAATTTGTTAGGTTCTCATTGCTATATACTATATCATTATACAAATATAAGTTCAATTTGTGGTTATTTTGAATGGTGCCTCTCTGAGCATTCATGTATTTGTCTTTTGGTAAATATTGCTGGGTATATGCTCAGGGTCATAGAATATGGTCAGATTTAGCATACATGGAAAATGGTGGTGTCCATCAGTTTACATTTCCATCCACAATGGGAGAGAGTTCTAGTTGCTCCGCATCTTTGCCAACACTTGGTATCATTTCTCTCTTTCATTTGAACTGTTCTGATGTGTATGTATCACTATTTCAATTGTGGTTATTTTGAACATTACAAAATTGGCAAAGAATAACTGATTTTATTAAATCATATTTCATTTGAAGTAACGTGGGTCTACTTTGCAGTATTTTTCCCTATTTACATGATTCATAAGAAGAGTGATCATGAGATAGTCAACAATATAACAGCTTGGAATGAGATTTTTGATCAGCTATAATTGTAATGTATTTTATCTAAATATTATTTAACTGTATTAGTAACTGTGATCATTAAGAACAGAAACAAAAGGTAAGCAAGTCCTTAGATTAACATGAAACAACATTCCTGCCTTTTGAAAGAAACTTTTCTGACCTGTAAGTAAATGATGTAAATCAATTAATAGCTTAACTGAAATTAAGAGATGAGTCTCAGCTTTCATTGCCTATATTATATCTGTGTTTCTGGAGAAACAAAAAAACAGTATGACAAACCTACAGTCTGCTAGTTTCTTCTCACCCTGCCAACAACTGTTATATTACTGTTTAGCTGGTTATGTGCAACCATTTGTTCAGGATTGTTTTGTTTTGCTTAGTTTTACTTTTTAAGGCAGAGTCTTGCTCTGTTGCCCAGGCTTGAGGTCTATGAGTTACACTCAGGGTCACATGGTCAACGAGATGTAATCACAGCTCACTGCAGCCTTAACCTCCTGGGCTCACGTGATCCCCCTGCCTCTGCTTCCTCAGTAGCTGGGACTACAGGTGCATGCCACGACACCCGGCTTGTTGAGCAGAGTTTTGATGAAAATCATTCATCCCTTCTTAATCACAAACAGTGAAACCTTAGAAAATGTAATTAGAGAGAAAAATAACATTTTGCACCAAGCTAATTGTATCTTTACCTTTTATTAGTTGGTTTCAGGATTGGTACTTGTTGATGGTTCTGTTTTGGAGTGTGCGTTCCCTGGGTTTAACTCCTTGCAGCACACTTTATATACGTTGTGTGGCCTTACTTGAGTAACTTAAGTTGCTTAACTTCTCCAGATCCCAGATTCTCAACCTGTAGAATGGAAGTAATTATAATACAAACATTATGTGGTGGGTTAGTCCAGGTCCTCCAAGAGGTAGATGTTGAAAACGAGTTAAACACAAGAGGATTTTATTAAGGGAAATCCCTGTGAGAGAAAATGGAGAGGAAGCTGAGTAAGCCTGGAAGAGGTCTCAGCTATGAGGCAAGTCTGACCTAGAATGAAGGAAAGAGGAAAGGAAGGTTGAGTGGAAGCATTGGAGCGTAATGTACAGTCTAAGGAAGGGTGAGAAAAGGCTTCAGGGAATCCTGAGCCAAGACTGGTCCTCAGAGAAGCCCTGTGTCTCCTAAAGAGGGATCTGCATTAGCCACCCTGTGGGCCTCAGTCATTGACTGAGGGGCAGATGCAGAAACAGATTTTAGAGTGAAGCAGCAAGTGGCCGTAGGCAGTTAGGCTTCCCATACTTTGAGGTCTATGAGTTTATTTATTTATTTATTATTTATTTATTTAAATTATACTTTAAGCTCTGGGTTACATGTGCGGAACTTGCAGTTTTGTTTCATAGGTATACACATGCCATGGTGGTTTGCTGCACCCATCAACCCGTCACCTACATTAGGTATTTCTCCTAATGTTATCCCTCCCCTACACCCCCACACCCCACAGGCCCCAGTGTGTGATGATCCCCTCCCTGTGTCCATGTGTTCTCATTGTTCAACTCCTGCTTATGAGTGAGAACATGCGGCGTTTGGTTCTCTGATCTTGTGATAGTTTGCTGAGAATGATGGCTTCCAGCTTCATGCATGTCCCTGCAAAGGACATGAACTCATGTCCTTTTTTATGGCTGCATAGTATTCCATGGTGTATATGTGCCACATTTTCATAATCCAGTCTATCACTGATGGACATTTGGGTTGGTTCCAAGTCTTTGCTATTGTGAATAGTGCCACAATAAACATACGTGTGCATGTGTCTTTATCGTAGAATGATTTATAATCTTTTGAGTATATGCCCAGTAATGGGATTGCTGGGTCAAATGGTATTTCTAGTTCTAGATCCTTGAGGAATTCACACACTGTCTTCCACAATGGTTGAAGTAAATTACACTCCCACCAATAGTGTAAAAGCATTCCTATTTTTCCACAACCTCTCCAGCATCTGTTGTTTCCTGACTTTTTAAGGACTGCCATTCTAACTGGAGTGAGATGGTATCTCATTGTGGTTTAGATTTGCATTTCTCTAATGCAGGTCTATGAGTTTCTTATTCATGGTCACTAAAAGATGTTTATCATGAATTGAAATCTCCAGATAAGAGTAAAGCAATGCCTAATTCATAGTTACGCACTTATCAATTTATTTATTCATATTATTCATTATCATTATGAATATTCAACACATTAATAAAAGAGTCACATGTGCAATCTACTTGGGGTATTGGGAGAGTAAAGAATAACATAGTGGTGCTACAGGTAATTTAAGAGATGGTTTCTCTCTCTCTCTCTCTCTCTCTATGTGTGTGTGTGTGTATATATATATATATATATATATATATATATATATATATATGAGACAAAGGTATAATTATTTTCCTTCTACTATTTGTTGTTGATGTATACTGCCAAATCCCTAACGGATACTGGAATACTTAACTCTAAGCTCCCCCCACGCCTACAAAAGAAGTGGGTACAAGGTTAGTTTTTAAATCAAAAGATTTATTAATAGTATTTTTATCATGTCCAATTGATATTATCATTATCAAAAAGTTTAATCACTTATTATTACTTGAAGGACCTCGTTAGGAAATATTCGATCCACTTTTTTTGTTTTTTTTTTTTTTTGAGACAGAGTCTCATTCTGTCACCTAGGCTGGAGTGCAGTGAGGTGATCTCGGCTCACTGCAAGCTCTGCCTCCCAGGTTCACGCCATTCTCCTGCCTCAGCCTCCCGAGTAGCTGGGACTACAGGCGCCCGCCACCACGCCCGGCTAATTTTTTGTATTTTTAGTAGAGACGGGGTTTCACCGTGTTAGCCAGGATGGTCTCGATCTCCTGACCTCGTGATCTGCCCGCCTCGGACTCCCAAAGTGCTGGGATTACGGGCGTGAGCCACCGCGCCTGGCCTGTTCCACTTCTTAAAACTGGTCACTGGAAGTACATCGTCTTGGGAAGAACTGGATATTTCTTGAAACCCCTTTCATATAGCCATATTCTCAAACATAGAACCTTCTTTTATTTTTTTCAAAGATTTTTTTCCATTACTGTAGAAAATTCAGAGGGTGTTTATGGATAGTGCAGTACTCCGCTCAAATACAGGGAACGAAAGTTACATTAAAATGATAATATTTTTTGCTGAAAAGTATTATGATATTTAATGTAAGCAAACAAATGACTCAGGTGATAGTGTTTTGTTTTCATTTTTTAAATGCCTTGGCCGGGCGCGGTGGCTCAAGCGTGTAATCCCAGCACTTTGGGAGGCCAAGGCGGGCGGATCATGAGGTCAGGAGATCGAGACCATCCTGGCTAACACAGTGAAACCCCGTCTCTACTAAAAATACAAAAATTAGCCGGGCGTACTGGCGGGAGCCTGTAGTCCCAGCTACTCGGGAGGCTAAGGCAGGAGAATGGCGTGAACCCGGGAGGCGGAGCTTGCAGTGAGCCGAGATTGCGCCACTGCACTCCAGCCTGGGCGACAGAGCCAGACTCCGTCTCAAAAAAATAAATAAATAAACATAAATAAATAAATAAATAAATAAATGTCTTACTTCAATAGCTTTTGGAGCACAAGTGGTTTAGGTAACATGGATAATTTGTATAGTGGTGAAGTCTGAGATTTTATTGCACCTGTCACCTGAGTAGTGTACATTGTACCAAACATGTAGCTTTTTTATTCCACACCCACCTGCCAACTTCCCCCTTATGAATCTCCAGAGCCCATTATATCACTCAGTGGAGAGTCTTCAACATTCAGGGTGGAATCTTCAGGGTGTGGCCCTCTATCCATTGCTTTCCAACGTTTGTACTCTCTGCTTTGTGAATAGAGGCCTGTTCTCCCTGTCTGCCTTGTTCACGTACCTTTGCCGTTTTCCTTGCTGGGATGACATCCTTTGCCCTGAAGTTCTCATTAACCATACCATAGATGTCCTCTTCTTACCTCAATACATCCAAGGCTACCTCAAGTTATAACTTCTCCTTTAGTTTTTCCCTAGTGTCTGAGTTCAAATGGGCTTCTCTATATCCAGAATATCTACCACCTGTCTTATCTTTCCTCACACGTGGCACGTGCAGTTCCTTCCATCTACTTTCATAATGTTGTATTTTAACGGTTCAGTTGTGTTTATATTACACTCTTCTGTCAGGCAAACAAGGGTATTTATATGGCTGAAATCTACGGTATTTTTTAAATGTAGTAAAATGTAATGAATAAGCATACAAATGAATGAGTTAATTAATCTGTTATATTCTTGGTTAAGTAATGAGCATTATGAGGACAAAAATTGAGTCTTACACCTTCTTATAATCCTAAAGACCTAGTACAGGACTTGGAATATAGCATTCACTTAAGACATCTTTGTGACTAATGAATTTAAATATTTTTATTAATTCTAAGTTGACGTATGATTGTAATTTGGGGAAGGTAGTGAAATTTCAAATGGCTTTCACCACCTGTGAAATGACCCTTTTTACCTACCACATGATTTACCAGATCTTTGTTTAGGTGAACCTAGGCGAAAGCAGATTGTTTCCTCTACTTAGGAAATACTTCGCACATTTTCGTTGCTTATAAATTTGATGATTTTAATTTGTACAGTTATAATTTATGATATTGACTTGTACAGTTATATATATTTTACATATAATATATATTATATATTATATATAGTTATACTATATATAATTTTATTTTCTAAAGTAAAGAATATCATTACACATTAACAAAATAGATATAACTGTTTTCTTTCTACTATTTGTTACTGGTGTATACTGCAAATCCCTAATGGATACTGAAATTCTTATCTCTAAGCCCCTCTATGACTATGAAAAGAAATGGGTTCAAGTTTATTTTAAAAATCAAAGAGTGTATTAATAATATTATTGTTATCATGTCCAATTGATACTATCATTATTAAAAAGTTTAATCACTTATTTCTTGAAGGACCTAATTAGGAAATATATATGTGTGTGTATATCTATATTCTATCTATATATATCCTATATCTATATTCCATATATATTCTGTATCTATATTCTATATCTGTATTCTACATATATTCTATATATAGTCTATCTATATTCTATCTATATCCTATATATAGACTATCTATATCCTATATATAGTCTATATATATTCTATCTATATCCTATATATAGTCTATATATATTCTATCTATATCCTATATATAGTCTATATATATTCTATCGATATCCTGTATATAGTCTATATATTTTCTATCTATATCCTATATATAGTCTATATACTCTATATATCTTATATAGTCTATATATATTCTATATATATCCTATATAGTCTATGTATATTCTATATATATCCTATATAGTCTATGTATATTCTATATATATCCTATATAGTCTATGTATATTCTATATATATCCTATATAGTCTATGTATATTCTATATATATCCTATATAGTCTATGTATATTCTATATATATCCTATATAGTCTATGTATATTCTATATATATCCTATATAGTCTATGTATATTCTATATATATCCTATATAGTCTATGTATATTCTATATATATCCTATATAGTCTATGTATATTCTATATATATCCTATATAGTCTATGTATATTCTATATATATCCTATATAGTCTATGTATATTCTATATATATCCTATATAGTCTATGTATATTCTATATATATCCTATATAGTCTATGTATATTCTATATATATCCTATATAGTCTATGTATATTCTATATATATCCTATATAGTCTATGTATATTCTATATATATCCTATATAGTCTATGTATA
The DNA here is from genome assembly GCF_000001405.40 of Homo sapiens. NCBI lineage: Eukaryota > Metazoa > Chordata > Mammalia > Primates > Hominidae > Homo > Homo sapiens. The sequence goes on from NW_003315943.1 coordinate 142,912, forward strand.
TTCTATATATATCCTATATAGTCTATGTATATTCTATATATATCCTATATAGTCTATGTATATTCTATATATATCCTATATAGTCTATGTATATTCTATATATATCCTATATAGTCTATATTCTATATATATCCTATATAGTCTATGTATATTCTATATATATCCTATATAGTCTATGTATATTCTATATATATCCTATATAGTCTATGTATATTCTATATATATCCTATATAGTCTATGTATATTCTATATATATCCTATATAGTCTATGTATATTCTATATATATCCTATATAGTCTATATGTATATTCTATATAGTCTATATATATTCTATATGTGTATCCTATATATATTCTCTATACATATTCTATATATATATACACACACACACACACACATATATAGTAGCCTGATATTTAAAAAATAAGATTGGGACTGCGTAAAATAAGCTCACCCAGACAATAGGGGTACAGACATATGTATAATTCAGCAAGAACTGGTAACAAAGTGAGATATGTCAACTCTTTGTAGCATATTGTTAAGTAGTATTAAAAAACAAGTAATTTTTGGTTGGGTCCATTGAGAGAATAACATTATTTTTAGAATGATCTAATGGCACAATAAGCATTTTAGCATTTTACCTGCAAAAGCATTATAGCTGTGCCAGTTTCTGTTCCAAGAAAAAAATACATTGGTGTATTCTCTAAAGGAGGAAATTCTGACCTCAACTATGTTCAGATAGCTGTGGCAGATAATACTCTGATCAGGTACTAAGTCATATATCTTTCACATTTCCCTTTGCTAGTTATACTCAGCATGTGGTTGGAAATGGAATCAAAGCCCAGTCTGGAAATCCTGAAGTCAAAGTCAAAGGAACTGATCCTGTGATAAATCAGATTATTGATAAACTGAAGCATGTTATTCAGGTAAGTCCTGATCCTATATTTTTTGGTATAGCCAATAATAAATAATAAGTGGTCACTTTCTGTTATACTTGATAAATTTGTTAACCCTATCAGGTAATCCTGCCTAAAATATTGTAACACATTATTTGTATCAGGACTTTTGGGAATATTTAGTTTAATGATTTTTGTATGCAGTCAATATGCAGTGGTATTTTAATGTTGGACAATCTGTATATGTGAAAAGCAAGCCTCAGCCTCAGCATTTCAATAATGAGAATCTCAGGACATGCATTGTCTTCAGTGAATAAGTTTGAACGTGGGAATCACTGTGACCATTAAAGAAAACACATAGAAGACCATAGAAGATGCCAGAGTTTTCTTTCAGGTAATTCTCTGAATGTTGCTATGAAGGTTTTTGCAGCATTTCAATACAAATTAGGTCATAGATGAATAATATGTACTTCTAATATTTATTTCCTATATCACCTTTTATATGTTATCTTATAATCTACCTAATGGTTGTTTATGAAATACTTCTGTTTTATCTTCAATAATATTTTTCATCAAGTGAGTGTGTATTGCTGTTTTTAATACATGACAAATGAAGCATGAACATATTTATCAAAATAATATTTCATTGAAATAGTCTATTAATTAGAACCAAACATGATGTTGCATGTTGTAAATATTACTCTGCATTCTGCATCTATTGATGTTTGGGGAAAGAAAGGCTATTTTTTTTTTTAGTTAATAGTCATTTTATAAAAATTTATATTTGAATATACTTTCATTTTTCCTAAGCAGAACTTTGCATGGCTAGTTGATGCTTATTTCTAGTATCGTGCATCAGAAACAATACCTAAATAGTACAGAGTTTTTATTGCATACAACATATTCCAGAGTCAGTAGTAGGCTTCTCATAATTGTTCTGCAAAGACAAAGCTTAAGTTTATGCAGAGCCAATTCCTGGGTTTCCATTTTTCACGAGTCCCTATCTCTCAAGGAGAGGATATGTAAGAAGGACTTGGGGGTTGGTGTCCAATACCATAGACTTCTCCCTTCTGTGAGGCAACAATGCTTATTCTACCATTGATACCTATAGAAAACAGCTCTCACCCTGGCTGGCAAAACCAAAAATAAATTCTACTGGAAAAGTCTAAGAGAAAAGTGGTATCATGACTACTGATGAGTTAAACCTTCCAGCCTCTGCTGAGCTGGTCCAGTTGGTACCTCACAGTATCGTCCACTGTAGTATAATATGTACAGCTAGATTATTTGAAAATTCGACCGCATAATTGATAATAAAACCAAAAGAGCTTTAATATTAATGTTCTCTCATTGAGGAGTGAGTACAATCTCACTGTGAGGACACAGTGAAATCTTAGGGGTTTCTTAAGTGGGGTAAGCATTCCACAGAGGATGGAGGAAGAAAAACTAGAACTTAAATATATATTTATTCCATCTCATTCTTTTATATTTCTTTGGTTGTAGTAAGGTATATAAAATATGTAATGTATTAGTGCAATAGCATATACATATAATTTATAAATACATAAATATACATATTAACTGGACATTTGTTCAGATTGTTTTTCTAAGATATATACATGATGAAAGCAGAACAGAAACCCTGTTACAGATAATAAGGATAGAGCTGTTCCATGAGAAGTGCAGTTATAAGAAAACACATTCACAGAGGAACACATAGATACCCAAGATAGAAAGGATTATAAAAACCCTTAGGAGGAGGGCTCATATATTTATTACCCATTCAGCAACCCCCCTCCCCATTTCTTGTTTCGTAGGTTTCAAAGCCTTTTCAAGGTGGCAGAGGGAAGTCATCCTGCCTTTCTTTTTTAGCTTCTGTGTGAACTTGAGTCCCATTCTTTATTCTTTATAGGAGTGTGCAGATCTCCAATTATTCATGCTTAAGTTTCATTCTGGGGTTGCAAGAGAATATCAAATGCAGTGCTACCTTTGAGGTCTATCATTTTAAGATCTGCTAGATTTATATGATAGAAATGTAGATTTTTATAGAGGACAGCAGAAAGTCATATCTTGCACAGGTGTCACTGAAAATTTACCTTTAATATCTAAGAATATGCTCTTTCATGAACTGCTCTCCTGGAGATGAAGAGAAGTGTTTTACTTTGCCAATTTTTTTTTTTTTTTTTTTTTTTTTTTTTTTTTTTTTTGAGACAGAGTTTCCCTCTTGTTGCCCAGGCTGGAGTGCAATGGCGCGATCTCGGCTCGCTGCAACCTCCGCCTCCCGGATTCAAGAGATTCTCCTGCCTCAGCCTCCAGAGCAGCTGGGATTACAGGCACGTGCCACCACAGCCCGGCTAATTTTTTTTGTATTTTTAGTAGAGACAGGGTTTCTCCATGTTGCTCAGGCTGGTCTCGAACTCCCGACCTCAGGTGATCCACCTGCCTCGGCCTCCCAAAGTGCCGATTACAGGCGTGAGCCACGGCGCCCGGCCTACTTTGCCAAACTTTTGACTACTGATGGTGTACGCGTGCCCTGGCAGGGATGGCCATTGTGCTGTCAGTATCAAGGGATGGCTAACAGCACCCACCACAATGTCAGCTATGAAAGGATTCAGAAAATAGCCTTCTGTAAGTCAGAATTTATTAATTAAGGAGTAGGGCCATGGAAGATGTCAACATAGGAATAGGTTTCAGATTCTAAACTGTAGATTTAGATGATCACTTCTTAGTGTTTGTATAAAATTTACTTTATTTTTTATTATAACATGAAGTTCGCTTTCCACCTTTATACTATGAAAAATGCCGTGTCTCACAATAGGGACATACCTGTGTTAAAGTATATGGAAGTAAATCAGCCACAATAGCAAACATTGCCTGCATGGACTCACCCAAAAATGCCTTTCTCGGCCTGCCATTGATCTGAACCTCATTTCTACCTTGCATTGTCTGCAATTAGAGTCACTAAGGAAGTAGATAAAGATTTTTACTTGGAAAATGTCACTTTTTAATGTTTTAATAATTAATTCGTTCAAGATACTCAACAAATGCTCACTGAGTTTCTAGTACGGTCCTGGTTCTGTACAGGCACTGAGGTTAAAGTTGTGAATAAAGCAGACACAACCCTGCTCTCATGGGCTTTCCATTGTAAGAAAAAAGTAAATAAACAAACCAATGAAACCAGTATTGTAGCTGACACATGTTATGCACAAAACCAAACAAGGTGAGGTAAGGAAAGATATTTAAGAAGAGTGTGCTGGTGAAGGCCACTCAGGGGCAGATGTTTGGGTTGATGCTGAATAAGGAGAAGAAAGGAGTCATGGGAAAACCTGTGAGAACTGTGTCTGGGGCAGAAGGCAAAGTAGGTGTAAAGGCCCTGTGGCAGGAATAAGTTTATTTTATTCAGAGAACAGAAGGCCAGGTGGCTAAAACAGAGTGAGTTAAAGGGAGGAGATAAACATACATCATGTTTTGGGGAGTCCAGTAGGCTCTGGTAAAGAGTTTATATTTTCTCCTAAATAGACTAAGAAGTCATTTTAAAACTGTAAGCAGAAACTAGCTGCGCGCAGTGGCTCATGCCTGTAATCTCAGCACTTTGGGAGGCTGAGGTGGGTGGATCACCTTAAGTCAGGAGTTTGAGACCAGCCTGGCCAACATGGTGAAACCCCATCTCTTCTAAAAATACAAAAATTAGCTGAGCACGGTGGAGCGTGCCTGTAATGCCAGCTACTGAGGAGGCTGAGGAAGGAGAATCGCTTGAACCCAGGAGTCGGAGCCTGCAGTGAGCCAAGATCGCGCCACTGCACTCCAGCCTGGATGACAGAGCAAGACTCCTTCTCAAAATAAATAAATAAATAAAAATACATCACAAATTTAATAAATAAATAAATAACTGTAAGCAGAAGCTGATACAATTTAATACATGTTTTATGAGGACTTCACTATGAAAACTGGACCCTGCGTACAAGAATGGAAAAAAGAAAGTAACACAGACAGAAGGCCACATAATTGGAGCTAGAATAATAAGAGTGGATAAGCTGAGAAGTGCATAGATTTAGACAAATATTGGAAGCGGGGTTTTTGGGATTTGTTAATGGATTGGAAATTTGGGAGACGGAAGAAAGATGATAGCGAGGTTTGGTGGGATGATAGTGTCACTAAGTGAGAAAAGGAATTCTGAGAGAGGAGCAGGCCTGGCGGAGGGTCCCTGGGATTGATTAGAAATCAGTGGTTTTGTTAACTGTGAGATGCTTGTTAGATGCCCAAGAGGGATGTGCAGAACTCAGGGAGACCACACAACTGGAGGTGTATGTTTGTAAGCATCAGCACGTGGATAGTATTTAAGCCCTGAGATTGTATAAGGTTGTCACCTTTCCTTTAGAGTATAAATTCACACCAAAACTATTGGTGGAGATGATAGGACAAGGGAATCATACAAAAAAAATTGTACTGCAAAAAGCTATGAATGAATAAAACATTTTATTAAATGTATTTGGCACCTTGTATATACCTAGTTGATCTAGGACAGAGAAGATACTTAGTAACATTCATTTTTTCTTACTGTAAGAATAATGACCCAGGAGGCGGAGGCTGCAGTGAGCTGAGCAGGCCACTGCACTCTAGCTCTAGCAGACAGAGTGAGACTCCGTCTCAAAAAAAAAAAAAAAAAAAAGAATAATGAATGCTCATCAGAGGGAATTGAATTTTATTATTCTAGGAAATCTGATGGAAAAAGTGAAAAATAAATATTGATACCATTTATAAAACAATGAAAAGACTTATAAGAGAAGCCATCTAGGCTTTTCTCTATACTTAATTATACATATAAATACATCAGTACTTTACTTCAAAAAATAAGATCATAGGGTACATTTGATTTTATGATCTGAACTGCTCACCTGACCACACAAAACAAATACTTTACCATGACATTAAATAGTCTGCTCTCTGGTTGTTAGTGCTGGCATACTATTCTATCATATGGAAAAATTACAGTTTTCCTTCACCCAGTCACCGAAAGTTGGATATTTAGGATGCGACCAGTTTTTCATGATAATAAAGACTAATAGGAATAGCAGTAGACATAAGATGTTTTTGGCATCTTTTTTTTCTTGTAATACGTTCTACATATTGAAACTAATAATTGTATTTTGCTACATATTGCCACGTTTTTCTCAAGGAAAATTATAGCTAACAGAAAGTGTCAGCTTTCTCTGTGTGTTAAGGGTGTGGGTGGAAGCTCGGCAGTGACGCTGAGACATATTGGTATGGAACATCATTGGACTCTCTAGAGATCAAGGTAGCAGTCCTGTAGAAATGTTAGCCCGAGCTGTGTGTCACCTGGGAGTACTCCAAGGACGGCCAAAAGAAATATTTTAGTTAGAAGACAATTTATAAGAAAAGTTTAGAGGCTTCCTAGAGAGGTCATAGCATACACAATTTTATTTCATCCTTTAGGGCAAGCCGTATATATATGTTCTGCGCACATCTCCTCCTGCACCCTCCTCAAAAAAAAAAAAAAAAAAAAAAAAAAAAAGCTGAGATCTGATGTAAATAGATAGCTGTGAATTATAGCTTGGTCCTTAAGGAATATCTCAGAAACTTCAATGTTCCTTCACCCCCTCCGCAAACCCTTCTGAATTGAGAATGGGAACCTTGGCAACAGAGGGGAGTCATGCACCTCCCTTTTCCATCTGTGACTCTGGCATCTTCCTCCAGGTCAGCCATGGTGCAAACTCTCACAGTTACTTTCTGGCAGTTTCCTGCATTCCAAACCTGTTTCTGAAATGGGCAATATTTGTCCCCTTGAAAATCACCTGTGATAAATGTGGTATAGCCCACGGCCAGTGAAAATTTTCCTACAGGGAGACATATTCCTAAGTGTTAACATTAACTTTTTCAGATGTTTGAGTCAGACTCAATTGCCCTTTCATATTATAGATTGAAAACAACACTTGGTTGATGTTAGTATATCTGATTGAGGAAATATGAGAGCCTTTTTAATTTAGATTTGCTCGCCTAGAAAACTCACTTTGAAACTTCTTGGTCATGTTATGTTTGCTTATGGCAAAGTTATCAGCAAAAAAGTCACTGTTATGCAGCAATTTATCTTTAAACACTAAATGACATCTATCATTTTTCAAAGAAAATAGTGTCAGCAGTTAAAATCCTAACTGCTTGAGCACTGTTAGTTGACAATTATAATGCCCCATTGCTTAGAAATTAATTGACCTACTTTCAATAAGAAACATAAAAAGTAATATCACAGCAATTTTCTGGATCTATTTTATTCCAAAACCAATAAATGTTACAGTGTTGTTAAAAGTAATAGATTTAAAAACATTTTATTTTCTTAAACTTAACAATTCAAATAACATAAAATAATATTACGTTTCTATTAAGTATTCATTTTTATACAGACCAAAAGTTCTTTAGAAAATGTCTTCATGTATAATATAAATTTGATTTTTAGATGTGAGAAAAGCAACAATCATAATCGTTGCCTAAATCCACAAAATAAGTAGATATTCTATAATATGTATTTCAGTAATCACAATGTATTGGATTCAGGCAGAGATGAGAGACACTCTGATTTTAGCAGAAAAAGACTGTGTTAAATTACCTCTTTGCCTTTTCTCACTCTGTTCCTAGGATAGCAATATAATAAATAGTAACTTTAGAACTGGGATACACTGAGAAAATGTCCTAATTTAAATCTCAATAGATGATTACACAGGTAGTGTTTACACACACACACACACACACAATGACAGGAGTTTTTAAAGATATTAGTATCTCGGAATTTTTGAATTCTGAAAACTGTCCAAGCTTTTATCATTAAATCACTTGTTATGAAACCCATTTTAGAAACACGCTTTCCTATTTTTAATAGCCTATGATAGTCATACAGAATGAGTTAATCAAAATTGATTGGTCAATTGCTAATTGCAAATTCTTTGACCGTAGCATGTCAGCTGATTCTATGAACTTCTACAGACTCTTTCCCTTGGTCCGGGAGTTGCCACAACACTCTGACTCCTTTCCCCACAACTCCATTACATGATATTGTCACCTCCCCAGGCTTACGATACTAATATTCCAGAGAGATGAACAGTCCTTGATTTTGAATAGCAATGCAGTAGTGACCAAAACAGATTTAGTTTTGGTTCAGAAGAAAGTGCTGGATATGCCCTCAGTAACTTTCCATGGTCATCTAATTCAGCAATTAGTTTGAGTAAATTCAATGGAAGGCTGCTTTCTGGAATGGGTAGTGTAATGTACTGACTTCCCTATTAGACATTTCATTTAAAAAAATCAATTGTCCGCATAAAACAACCATTTCAATCAGTGTACATTCAACTGGAAAGGAAAGTTAGAGGACTTTTTTTGAAAGTAATGGGATTGGGGTTGGCCGTTGCTAATTTCTTTTTGATTAAAGCGTATGTAATTGTTTTGTGTTGGATAAAAATTTGACTTTTTATTTGCGCGGATGCTGCTGATCTTATATGTTATCATTTCCCATTCAGACTTGAGCTGTTTACCTGCCGGGTTTTCTGTTCATAAAATGTTGAAAGGACGTTAAAATGTAGAACTTTTACATTTTTTATTTAGGTGACTAGGACAAATTCTGGTAATTTGTAGGCTACAACTTAAATGTATTTCTGCTTAAAATATTTTGAAATATGGTTTATTTCACAAATGAGGTTCCAAACTATAACCAGCTCTCACTAAATTCTTATTTATTTATTTATTTATTTATTTATTTTGAGACGGAGTCTTTCTCTGTCACCCAGGCTGGAGGGCAGTGGCCGGATCTCGGCTCACCGCAAGCTCCGCCTCCCGGGTTCACGCCATCCTCCTGCCCCAGCCTCCTGAGTAGCTGGGACTACAGGCGCCCGCCACCACGCCCAGCTCATTTTTTGTATTTTTAGTAGAGATGGGGTTTCCCCGTGTTAGCCAGGATGGTCTGGATCTCCTGACCTCGTGATCCGCCCGCCTCGGCCTCCCAAAGTGCTGGGATTACAGGCGTGAGCCACCGCGCCCAGCCAAAAGATCATTTTTAAATTATGTATCTGGGAATATATTATCAAACCAGGCCTGAAACTTATTAAAAAGATGGTAAAATCTAATTTAACTTCATTTAATACTCCTTTTCTCTTAGTCTTATAAAAGCAAATGAGCTTGTTGGCTTTTCATTATGAAAATATAATTTTAATTTATAAGACATATGTAACAAAGCAAGATAGCTGCTAAATTCACTCTATCCTAGTAACTTCCTATTGCATACATTCATTTTTAATGTAATAAGAAAATCCTTTCAAAATGCTTAAAAGAATCACATTACCCAAGAAGAGGCTCAACATTTCTAGAAAATAAATATGTTCTTAAGACACTTAATAATTCTTGAAATGAAGACCTAATTCTTCAGGGCTTTAAAATATTTGATGTGCACTCTTTACATATATAGAGAGTTTAAATTTAATAATTTCCCTTCTTAAAAAAGAAGTGAAACATACCACAAACATATCAAAGCAAGTTATTCATACTTCTCATTTAAGTAACTGTATTGTCATAGCAAAATTATTTTATATCATCAAACAGCACAAAAGCCTTATTAGAATACTAATTTCAATGTCTGTTTCACAGATTTGCTCAGAATAGATTTTTTCATGCTTCTGCACTAATTCATTGAAGGACAATGTTTTACCGATTCCTGAAAAAATATCATTATCTGCCCCATAGTGGTGGCTCATGCCTGTAATCCTAACACTTTGGGAGGCCGAGGCTGGCAGATTGCTTGAGCCCAGGAGTTCAAGACCAGCCTGGGCAACATGGTGAAAACTCATCTCTACCAAAAAAAAAAAAAAAAAAGTAAAAAGTTAGCCGGGCAAGGTGGCGGGCACCTGTAGTCCTAGCAACTGAGGAGGCTGAGGTAGGAGGATCACCTGGGCCTGGGAGGTTGAGGTTGTGGTGAGCCATGATTATGCCACTGCATTCCAGCAGTGGGTGACATAGTGAGATCTTGTATCAATAATAATAAGATAAAATAGAAAATAAAAATATCATTAACTGACATTTTAAAAAGTATATTTCCCAATGGATAAATATACTTTGTGGATTAACAAGAGAAAAATTTCAAGATACTGTAAATTTAAAACAAATCTTTATGTATAATACCATCGTAATGTCTTTGACCAGGAGCAATCTATCATGTGAGATAAAAAATATTAAATATGCATTTATTGAATAAATGAATGAAAATCATGATTACCTTGATCACTATATTTAAAATTTAAATGAAGCAGGAAAGTAAATCTTCCTAATTATCATATACTTAACATAACTGTTTAAAATCACTCTAATAACAAGTAATATGTTAATTTTGAATTATAATTTTAAAATGCCTGTATTGTTTCATTCACTCATCCTTCCATTAGTTCAGTGAACAAATATTGATTACTTACCCACTATGTGCCAGGTATCATCATAGATTCAGGGAGTACAAAAATGGTTAAACGAAGGGATCAGCTGGAGTGACCGTTTTCTAGAAACAATGCCTATTTCAGTTATGAACTAGTCTGTTTTGAAGAAAGTGGTGAGGGAAAGCTGAAAATCCTATTTTCACTTTATTCAACAAATCTTATTGAGGTCTTATTATGAATCAGGGGCTCTCCTAGGTATGGGCATACAAAATTGATTAAGACTGTGCTTGCTTGCAGAAAACAAACAAAAAAGCATCTCTATAATAAAAAGGAAAAAGAGGAAATTCCCTTTGTAGGTTTCATAGTTTATAGTGATACTGCTGATGTTGTCTCAGAGAATTAGTCACAATTATAGGAACTCAGAAGGCATTCCGTTGAGATGAAATAGAGACTAAAGTAGCAGAGATTACTTAGTGAAATAACAATTCGAACATAGTTATAATTCATTTTAGAAGATATTATGGCTCACACATAGTAGATGTGATGACTGAATAACAGGAATGTGGAACGATGGCACCTTGGTAGCCATTACCCATTGCCAACATGATTCTGCATTAAAAAATCTGTGCAAAACGGCCGGGCACGGTGGCTCACGCCTGTAATCCTAGCACTTTGGGAGGCCGAGGAGGGCGGATCACGAGGTCGGGAGATGGAGACCATCCTGGCTAACACGGTGAAACCCCGTAACTACTAAAAATACAAAAAATTAGCTGGGCATGGTGGCACGCGCCTGTAGTCCCAGCTACTCGGGAGGCTGAGGCAGGAGAATCGCTTGAACCTGGGAGGTGGAGGTTGCAGTAAGCTGAGATCGCGCCACTGCACTCCAGCCTGGGCGACAGAGTGAGACTCCATTTCAAAAAAAAAAAAAAAAAAGAACACAACTTTGGAGTATATTAATAAACATTGTGTTTTTTAAAAAAAAAATTTTAATCTTTAATTTCCGTTTTCACATATTTCTTCTTGCTTCCAAAAGGAAAGGAGTGGGTAGCTCTGTTGTACACCGTCCACGGCCCCTGGATCCGGGCGGGGTCCCCCGGGCCACCTGGGGGTCCACATGCAGCCCCCGGGAGGCCGGTGCGGGGTGAGGTCCGGGGGCCGCCTTATTGCTGAAGTCCGGCCGGTTGGGGCCCCGGCGGCCGCTAGGCGCTCTGGCTGCGCAGCTCCTGGGAGATGAAGCGGCGCAGGCGCTCCAGGTACTGGCTGTAGAGCTGGATGTCTTTGTGCCCGGCGCCCTCCACCCACAGCGGCTCCACGGCCTTGGGGCAGCGCTCCTAGAGCGCCAGCCCCTGCGAGAAGTCGATCACCTCGTCTTTCGTGCCGTGGATAATGAGCACGGGCGACGTGATCTTGGACACCTTCTGGATTCTGCGGGAGGGGCGTGGGGCGGGTGAGACCTCTCCGGGCCCGGGCCCCGCCCCGCCCCAGTCCCCGACCCAGTCCCCGTCCCCGCCCCTGTCCCTGCCCCAGCCTGCTCACTTGGGGAAGGCGTCGAAGCAGTAGGTCTTCTTGGTGTCGGGAAGGCGACGCTCAGGTCCAAGGTGAGCGGCGAGTGCAGCACCACCGCGGCGGACTCGTAGCGCGAGGCCAGGTCCACGGTGGGCACCGTGCCGATGCTCTGCCGGTACAGGATGATGCTGTCCGGGCTGATGCGGTACCTGGCGGCACCGGAGCAGGGTCAGCCGCGGCCTCCGACTCGCGCGCACCCCTCCCGCCAGCGGGCGTCCCCGGGCCCAGCTCCAGATGCGACTCTCCAGTCTCCCGGCTCAGCCTAGTCAGTGGGTCAGGCCCAGGCTCCACAGCAGTCCCAAGGGCCACCCCCAGTCCCCCAAGACCGCAGCGGTGGGCGGAGCCGGCGGCGTGGTCCTGTTCCCTGGCGCTATGGTTCACTGGCGTTTCCTAGCCAGGATCTGCTGGATCCTGGCTAGGGAGTCCCCCTCGGGCTAGGGTAGGGGAAGCCCTGGCGCCTCTCCTTCTCCTGGTCATCCCTGGGCGCACACTGGGAACTGTGTGCCCCCCCACATCCTGAATGCTTCATGCCTTCCTGCCCAGGTTAGAAAGCCGTTCCTGGTGCACTGGCCGGAACAGGGTACACTCTTCCTCCCTGCAGCCCTTGCCCACCCCCTTGGCCATGAGGAATTCAGGCAGCTGTGTCCCCACATGTCTCCACCCAATTTTGGACTCTCGGAGTCCCATGCTCAATGAGGTGCCAGCCCAACCCAGGTCAACATCGAGGGTGGCGGCTGCGGGGGCAGCACCTCCTCCCACCAGCGCCTTCCCTTGGGAGTGGACAAGTCCTCGGCCACCTCAGCACCACCAGCTCCCACCCAGGGCCACCCCCACCGCCAGGTCACTGGTGTGCGGCCCCTGGCCCAGCTGGTCCAGCACCAGTACCAAGGCCTCCTCGTGCCCAGTCCCAACCACGCGGGACCCACCTGCCACCCTGTCGATGCCGCAACCCCAGAACTCTCCTCCCACACGCTCCAGGCTCTGATCCCAGGCAGATGCCCTCCTGCGAGGCAGGAGCATGGGCAGGTGTGCGTCCCATCTGCCTGGCATTCGGACTCCACCAGCAGGGCTGTACCCCTCCTTGGCCTGGAATCCCAGCCTCCTGGCAGCACTCCACAGCTCACTGTTCACCCATGCCCCAAAGGATGCTGCCTGGCTGGTGCCTGTGGCCCCAGCTCTGCCTCAGCCTCCTTGGCCTGCTCCCTGGCAGCCAAGGCCAGTAGTGTGCTGAGCCAGCCCAGCCCTGTCACCTGCTCCAGGCAGGACCCCCAGCTGCCACCTGGATGTCACCACTCAGACAATCAAACAAGACACATCCTCAGTGGAGGCCCTGAGCGCGATCTGGCCTCCCCCTCATGGCTCTGGGCCGAGGTTCCTGCAGGACAAAGCAGCAGCAGGACAGATGGCCGAGCAGACAGAGCTCAGAGCTGGCCATGGCGGGTGTGACTCTGCCAGTGCCCTGGGCAGTAGAGACAGGAGGGGTCCGAGGAAGCTGCATGAAGTGGTGCTTGGTTTCTGCGCCCACACTGCCAGGAGGCCCCCAGAGCCAGGGTGGTGCCAGGGGACCCAGCTCCCAGGCCCACAGAAGGGACTGCCTGGGATATCGCCAAGGCATCGAGGACCCCACCTCCCCAGGGCCTCTGACTTCTCAGAGCTGCGCCTGGCCCCTGCAGGAGCGGGGCAGACCAGTGGGGGGCAGGGCCAGGACGAGACAGCCCCAGCGGGTGGCAAGCAGGAAAGGCCTCCAGAGGCCCACGCGGGTCTTCTGATCCAGAGCAGCACTGGCCCGGGCGGTGGGCGGTGCTCAAACACCAGTGAAGGGCCCAGGAAAGTGCAGGGCTGGGGACCTGGATGTTTAGGAGGGCTGGATCTGGAATGGAGGCTGGCCCAGACCTCAGGTGTGTGCTGGGGGTCTGCACCTGACCCAGCAGGCCCTGCCCCGGGATGGCCGAGCTCCACAGCCACAGGGCCTCATGGGCCAGGCCTCGGGACCTCGATGCAGCAGCCTCGCCTCACCTGGCCCCAAGTGCTGCCTCGGCCATTGGGCTCCCAGCCACACGTGCACAGACCCCCCCCAGACACCACCCACCCCCTCCCGCCGGGTGGCGTCCACGCCCCTGTGACAAGCTCAGCCCCTTCCTGTCCTCAGGCCAGGGGATCCCAGAGAGCCTGGCTCCACAGGCCAGGGTGTGGGGGGACCTGGCCACACCTCAGCCATGTGGAGGCGGCACCCGCACGCCTGAGCTCACCTTTCCGGCTCTCTGGCCGCATGCGTCCACTGTGGCTCCTCTCCTGCAGGGCCGCCCACCTTCCTCCCAGGGAAGCCCGCCCCTCCCCCCGGCCCCCGGCCTGGTCCCCTCTCCGGTGTGCCCAGGCTGAGCTGCCCCCGGGGTCGCCCTCACCTGGTGCGCAGGGCCTGCCGGGCGGCGTCGATGTCGGCGTAGAGGTTCGTCTCGGAGGGCCTGCCCGAGCTGGCACCGTAGCCGGAGTAGTCGTAGGAGAAGATGTTGCAGTGGAGGCGGGAACACAGGCCAATGTAGAAGCTGCTCATCTGGCCCAGGTCCACGCGTTGCCTTCCTTGTTCATGCACCGCTGGTCAGACGCAATTCAGCTGATGTAGGCTGGGCTTGGCTAGCATTGGCTTGAAGCTGCAGCTGGTGTCCAGATCTGTTCCATGTATTTGTGATCCTCCTCAGCCCTCCCGGGTACTTGAAGCATGTTATTGTTGTGGCCAAAGTCAGGAGTGCAACCTGCCTGTGCAAAAACATGCCAGGCTTCTGTTGCCTTAAATCCTCTAAGATACCCCTTTGGCTTAAGCAGAGTCACACAGCAAGGATCAAAGTCAAGGAGTGGGGAATTATATCTGTCCCTTAGAGATGGAGATAGGAGAGAGTGTGAACAAATGCAGGAAAATGATCTCATCTACCAGAGTGTCCTTAAAGATTTTAACATAATAAATTCAGTATTGTTTTTGTTTGTTTGAATGAAGCTTTGCATGGACACAGTACAGTACAAAAGTACTATTTGAACTCTTTCTCCACATTCATAAAATTGCTACATAGTTTCTACCATGATTATATTTTTATGATCCATTTTTGTGTACAGATCTGAAAACTTTATACTAGAATTTATTAGCTGAGGAAAGGAACATGCACTGACATCATCATACACAAATATTTCTCAACATTTTAATGCTTGTGGTATTGTTAATGTTTCTGTGGAAAATTACTTAAAATCATAGAAGTGATTTCTAAGTCAGTTATTGATTTATTCTGATGAATTATAAAAATCAGACTAAATTAGTAATAGAGAAATTACACTTGAAATACTAGTCTGAGCTACAAATGAGATGGATTTTTGTGCTCATCATTTGTACTCTAGTTATGTTTGTTGAGATTGGGTTATGAAAACATCATTATAACATTATCAGCAGAAAAGCCTGTTGTGCTATAATTAAATCATCTAAACAATCATTTTTGTGGTCTTAATATCCTGGATTTCTCAATTGATTGTAGTAGATAAGAGTTCTCTTTAAATACTACTTATTATCGGTAGCTTGCTTTTCTGTGAAATCTAGAAAATTTAGAATTCTGCATTAACATTTAATAAAATACCTGCTATCCTAATATTGATGCATTATATTTATCTATACAACATGCAACAGGAGAGAAATATCAGATGAATTAGAATATTTGCAGCCTATGGCAATTATCTGTAGCCACATTTTTTTTTGTCTTCAGAAAAATGTAGATGATTTTGGAAATGGATTAGTTCTAGTCTCAATCTAGGAAGAATTACTTATGGAAGTTTTGTGTACAGGATACTGATGTTTTCAAATATAACGCATTATTATTTTAGTTTAGTTTCTTTTGCCACATACTTAGAAATTGTTCAAGTGAACAGGCTATTAAAACGAATGGTATAGATAAATGGTATAGATAGGCATTGTAAACATCCCACTTTTCCCAAGCCATGAATTTTAACACTGGATTAAGGAGATGAAAATGGAGCCATTGGGAATGTGGATTCTTTGCTAATAATTATTTTTCTTCTTTAAAAAGATTCTTCAAAAGGCAAGAACATGGAAGTATTTCAGGAGATATTCTTGAGGTATCTAAAATACATACTCTTCCTATCAAAATCAATAAATAGATGGATGTAAGTAAGATAAAGTCAGGGCAACTGATTTTGCATGTGAGTGTACACACAGACACATATCCAGGTTTTCTCCATCTGTTCTCAGTTGCTGAATTATTAGACTCAGCTGACCGCTTGACTGTGTTTAATCTGATAAACAGACTCTTAACAAGAAGAACAATGTTTTAAAAACTGGACTGTTCCTCCTACTTCTCAGCATGCATCAGCCACTCTCTTTCCCCATCCTATCTCCTGCCAAATTGGTCTCTACTTATCTGTTCCACTTGGAGACACTATTTGATGTTGTTGTAAATGACATAAATGAATATTCACTCTACCTGCTTTCATATTAATTCAGTTTTCATAGGATGGTCTCTGTGGGATCAAGCAAAAGGACTTAGTGGAATATCTCTTATGACTCCATAAAGTAAAGAATGTGGTGAGTTTAGCAGAGTGCACCTTCCTTTACTAAATGTGAATGATGTGTCAGTATAGGGGGCCAGAGTGAAAAGTCCTAACATATGCTTGTTTGGGCAGCCAACAATTGGTCACATTGCACATTTCATGTTACAAAGGAGCCTCATGGTAGTATAAATGAGGGTCAGGAAAAGACACTTAACTGTGCTCTGGGCTTTAAAATGGAGCCAGGGCAAGAATTCTGGAATTTGACAATGTCAGGAAGGAAACCTCTGTAAGCAGGCACGCAGGGGACTCCAGAAATCTCTTCTTTGCCACTACAACTCTGGACTTTCAGAAATACACACCCCATTCTCCTGTATTAATACACACTTCATGTTCACAACATCAAAAACCAATTTTAAAATAGTAAACCTAAGGTAGATGGAAAGGCATTATAGCCTCAGCATGCCCGAGATGTGAGGAGCAAATCAGAAAGATGTGAGTGTGACGAGAAAGGGACATCGTGCTAACCAATCATTTAAAATTTTTACTCCAAAGAAATGGCAATATTTCACAGGTTTTTTCTCATCACCAATCTCACAAATATACATGTTTTTTGAAAATTTTCCTCTCAATTCTTCTCCTTGACAGTGAAGTCCAGAAGAGGTTGGTTTAGATCTAACTCTTTTCAGCCTCAATACTCCATAATCACTTTGGCTTTTTTGATTATGACTGGACGGCATGTACTATTATTTTAATATTAAATATTTAGGAAATAATTTTAAATGTTATCCTTAAATAACTATGGGCTTTATTCATTTACTGTATGTATTTCTCAAACATTCATAAGAACTTAAGGATTTTAATTCAAATGGTCCCTAAAGTAGAAAATGCACTCACAGATTCTGCATATGTCTTTTAAGAAACAGAAACGTGCCATTTGTTATTAAATTGAGTAGACTTTGTATCCTTTAGAATTTGGGCAGAGTTTTCTTGCTATATTGTAGAGAACCTATCAACCATATCTTAATTTTCTTCTTTTTGAGGTCTTCAAAATTAACATTGGCATTGGTCCACTAATTCCTTGTTTTCTATTTTTGGATGAGTGTGCATAGATTACCTCCATCTTAATTTTCAACATAAACTTTTAGCAGACTCTTTCACCTTTCATTGCCATGTAAGCAGATGTGATTTTTATTCTTTTTTCCTTTTCATTGAACAGTTACTTCATTTGAAATTTTTCACTTGATTTAATTTAACTTTATTTTTTGGTGGTAGATACATCTGTTGCCACCTGTGTCTGGTTGGCATTTTAATGTGTTGCCTCGAAGCTGTAACCACAATAGTGGCACATTTTCCTGCTGTTCCTTTATTCTTTGTTCCATGTGTATCTATTTTCAATAAATTGCATTGGTATATTATCATAGATTTTCTTTTTGTCTCTCAGATTTTCTGTTGTAATTATTTTTATTTATGCCTTTGGAAATATTTTATGATTGTTACATAAAACAGCAGAGCTCTTTCAGAAAGTTTTCATGGTTTTCCAAATGTACATTCATATAGATTATTTAGTAGTTATTACACAATGATCTTTGGAGCAATAAATGCTGTTACGTAAGAACAATTCCCAAATGTAATTTGAGTTATAAGCTAGCCTTTGATGGCCTAGAATTGATGTACCTTTATAATTCTAATCTGCATGCAAATTTAAGAAGACCAAGGATTGAGGATTGGGTGCATAATTTTCAGGGCCCAGTAAAAAGTGAAAATGTAGAACCCTTTGATAAAAACTTACAAAGAATTTCAAGATGACCATAATAGGCCATGCACAAGGCCTTTGTAGATGGGTAGAGTGACCATGAAGCCATGGGCATTGTTTGGTTTTGTTTAATCTTACTGTTTGGTTGTAAAGCAGATTTTTAAATCAAGAGAAAAAAGAACACCAAAGAAGATCTCTGTCAAAATGTTTGAAGCATTATAGAAGATTAGATCCATATAAATGAAAGGGATAAAGAAAAAGCACATATCCAACCTCAAATATAAAGCATGGAATTCTCATATGAACTCCATTATAGCACTTGATATTTCAGCTCTATTTTCATTTTTGAACAACTCTAGATATATCTATATATTTTAGTCTAAAATTTAATTTTTATAAATTGTAAGTACTTCCCCAAATTCTACCTTAGATAAACAATTCAGAGATAACTCTGTTTCCTATTCTATTAGGTGGAACCATATGAAATTGTCAGTATTCAGCCTTTTTTGTCCTACAAAAAAATGACAGTTTTGTGTTTCCACCTAACACATGGCAGCCCAATAAATATGTGAAGGTCAGGACCACAGAGCTACCACACTAAACAATACTAAATGCATACACATACCCTTTCCAAAACCCGGCAGGTCTTCTTTTCCCCAAGTGAAACATTCTTTGACTCTTCACCCATTATTCATGTGAGAAATTTTCCAGGCACTTCAACATGTCAGCTCAGTGACTGTAACAATTAGGTTTATTAATTCTCCTCTCACAATTTGACATTCTTTATTGAAAAGCATGATTTAAATGTTGACTAATAGTCTGCATAGTGAAACATTTTTACTAGTTCCAATGACCTAAAACAGTGTAAACCATGATTCAGAAATTTATTTTCTTAAAAACTTCTAAACAAAATGTCTGCTAGGATAAACCGGTGCAATTTCTATGTGAAACCTAAGAATTTCAATGACACATTTTCATCCTTATTGCCATCAAATAATCCCTTTAATAGTGCCCCATCTTTCTTACTCCTTCATATGATTTTCTATATTATTATTTTCCATCACTCATTCTGTTAAAACTATAATAGTTTCTTCAGAGAAATGACAGATTTTCCCACTTCAGAGGCATTTCTGCATTGAGCTCTCATAAACCTCTCTAACATGGTGGGCAATAGACTCAATAACATTTGTGTATAAACTCAGTTGTGAATTACAAAAGGCTCATCTATAACGTCAAAAAGCAACTCGGTAAAAACAATTCTATTGAAGATAGTATGATCTAAATATATAATTTTAGGATGGCTTCAACTGAGACAAAAATAGCATCGATACAGTGTGGAGCAATGAATTTCTAAAATTTTTATCAGCTTAACATTTTTCATCAGCACAATTTATACAGAAGCCCAACATGAGACATTCTTGTTCACATGGAATTTCTCTGCCCGCTGGAGCCCTGTAGAAATCCCACTGTGTTGGTAAACAGCAGTAGCAACAAGAAGATACTAAACTGGAATTCTCAGTGGCTCAACCAAACCAAAGTTTGTTGGTTGCTCCCATAAAGTTCAATGTCAGTCAGAATAAACTCCTCTAGCCTTAACCTATGACACACATGGCACATAACCTTCCAAGTACTGGCAGTGGAAAAGGAGAGAACTTGGGAATGAGGCAGGGGCTTCATGGTGAACATGGTGAAACCTCATCTTTACCAAAAATACAAAAATTAGGTGGGTGTGGTGGAGTGTGCCTGTAGTCCCAGCTACTCAGGAGGCTGAGGTAGAAGGATCGCTTGGGCCTGGGAGGTCAAGGCTGCAGTGAACCAAGGTGGTGCCACTGCACTCCAGCCTGGGTAACAGAGTGAGATCCTGTCTCAAAAAAAAAAAAAATTGTGAAGGTGAAATTTAAATACCTTTGTGCATAGCTATCAGTTATTCTTTGTTTTAATATTTAGTTTATTGTGAAATATAACACGTATAGAAACATACATAAAACAACACACAGGGCCAGGCCCGGTGGGTCACGCCTTGTAATCCCAGCACTTTGGGAGGCCGAGGCGGGCGGATTACTTGAGGTGAGGAGTTTGAGACCAGCCTGGCCAACATGGTGAAACCCCATCTCTACTAAAAATACAAAAATTAGTCGGATGTGGTGGTGCATGCCTGTAATCCCAGCTACTTGGGAGGCTGAGGCAGGAGAATCGCTTGAACCAGGGAGGCAGAAGTTACAGTGAACCAAGATCGCGCTACTGCACTCCAGCCTGGGCAACGGAGTCAGACTGTGTCTAAAAAAAAAAAAAAAAAAAAATAGGCCGGGTGTGGTGGCTCACGCCTGTAATCCCAGAACTTTGGGAGGCCGAGGCGGGCAGATCACTTGAGGTCAGGAGTTCGAGACCAGCCTGACCAACATGGAGAAACCCCATCCCTACTAAAAGTACAAAATTAGCTGGGCGTGGTGTTGCATGACTGAAATCCCAGCCACTTTGGAGGCTGAGGCAGGGGAATCACTTGAATCTGGGAGGTAGAGGTTGTTTTGAGCTGAGATCACGCCATTGTACTCCAGCCTGGGCAACAAGAGCAAAACTCCGTCTCAAACAAACAAAAAACAAAACAAAAACAAAAAACACAGTGTAACATGTTATTATGAAGTCACTGCTCAGGGACCAACTTGGCCGCTCCTGTGCCTCTAGAGGGAAGCTCCTTCCCACTGTTCTTTAGAGTTTTATATGTTAAGTACAGGAGTCAACAAACTAGGCCTATGCACCACATCTGGCACCCAGCCTTTATTTATTTTTTGAGATGGCGTCTCACTCTGTCATCCTGGCTGCAGTGTGGTAGCACAATCTCGGCTCACTGCAACCTCCGCCTCCCAGATTCAGGCAATTCTCCTGCCTCAGCCTCCTGAGTAGCTGGGATTACAGGTGTGTGCCACCACACCCGGCTAATTTTTATATTTTTGGTAGAGACGGGGTTTCAACATGTTGGTCAGTCTGGTCTCGAACTCCTGACGTCAGGTGATCCGCCTGCGTTGCCCTCTCAAAGTGCTGGGATTACAGGCATGAGGCATGATGCCTGACCCAGCCTTTTCTAAAATGAAGGTTTCGGCTGGCGCGGTGGCTCATGTCTGTAATCCCAGCACTTTGGGAGGCCAAGGCAGGTGGATCACCTGAGGTCAGTAGTTGGGGACCACCCTGGCCAACATGGTGAAACCCCGTCTGTATCAAAATACAAAAATTAGCTGGGCGTGATGGCAGGCACATGTAATGCCAGCTACTCGGGAGCCTGAGGCACGACAATCACTTGAACCCGGGAGGCGGAGGTTGCAGTGAGCCAAGATCACACGATTGCACTCCAGCCTGGGCAACGAGCGAAACTCCATCTCAAAATACAATAATAAAAAAAAGGATGTCCTTTTTTGTCTCTCAACCCCGTTTTTTATTTTTTTTTATTTTCAGACAGGGTCTCACTCTGTTGCCCAGGGTGGAGTGCAGGGGCCCGATCTTAGCTCACTGCGGCCTCAACTTCCCCAGCTCACAGGATCCTCCCACCTCAGCCTCCCAAACAGCTGGGACCACAGGTGGGTACCAGAAGTTATTAGGATAGAGTGAATTTAGCAGCTATCTTGCTTTGTTACATATGTCTTATAAATTAAAATTATATTTTCATAATGAAAAGCCAACAAGCTCATTTGCTTTTATAAGACTAAGAGAAAAGGAGTATTAAATGAAGTTAAATTAGATTTTACCATCTTTTTAATAAGTTTCAGGCCTGGTTTGATAATATATTCCCAGATACATAATTTAAAAATGATCTTTTGGCTGGGCGCGGTGGCTCACGCCTGTAATCCCAGCACTTTGGGAGGCCGAGGCGGGCGGATCACGAGGTCAGGAGATCCAGACCATCCTGGCTAACACGGGGAAACCCCATCTCTACTAAAAATACAAAAAATGAGCTGGGCGTGGTGGCGGGCGCCTGTAGTCCCAGCTACTCAGGAGGCTGGGGCAGGAGGATGGCGTGAACCCGGGAGGCGGAGCTTGCGGTGAGCCGAGATCCGGCCACTGCCCTCCAGCCTGGGTGACAGAGAAAGACTCCGTCTCAAAATAAATAAATAAATAAATAAATAAATAAGAATTTAGTGAGAGCTGGTTATAGTTTGGAACCTCATTTGTGAAATAAACCATATTTCAAAATATTTTAAGCAGAAATACATTTAAGTTGTAGCCTACAAATTACCAGAATTTGTCCTAGTCACCTAAATAAAAAATGTAAAAGTTCTACATTTTAACGTCCTTTCAACATTTTATGAACAGAAAACCCGGCAGGTAAACAGCTCAAGTCTGAATGGGAAATGATAACATATAAGATCAGCAGCATCCGCGCAAATAAAAAGTCAAATTTTTATCCAACACAAAACAATTACATACGCTTTAATCAAAAAGAAATTAGCAACGGCCAACCCCAATCCCATTACTTTCAAAAAAAGTCCTCTAACTTTCCTTTCCAGTTGAATGTACACTGATTGAAATGGTTGTTTTATGCGGACAATTGATTTTTTTAAATGAAATGTCTAATAGGGAAGTCAGTACATTACACTACCCATTCCAGAAAGCAGCCTTCCATTGAATTTACTCAAACTAATTGCTGAATTAGATGACCATGGAAAGTTACTGAGGGCATATCCAGCACTTTCTTCTGAACCAAAACTAAATCTGTTTTGGTCACTACTGCATTGCTATTCAAAATCAAGGACTGTTCATCTCTCTGGAATATTAGTATCGTAAGCCTGGGGAGGTGACAATATCATGTAATGGAGTTGTGGGGAAAGGAGTCAGAGTGTTGTGGCAACTCCCGGACCAAGGGAAAGAGTCTGTAGAAGTTCATAGAATCAGCTGACATGCTACGGTCAAAGAATTTGCAATTAGCAATTGACCAATCAATTTTGATTAACTCATTCTGTATGACTATCATAGGCTATTAAAAATAGGAAAGCGTGTTTCTAAAATGGGTTTCATAACAAGTGATTTAATGATAAAAGCTTGGACAGTTTTCAGAATTCAAAAATTCCGAGATACTAATATCTTTAAAAACTCCTGTCATTGTGTGTGTGTGTGTGTGTGTAAACACTACCTGTGTAATCATCTATTGAGATTTAAATTAGGACATTTTCTCAGTGTATCCCAGTTCTAAAGTTACTATTTATTATATTGCTATCCTAGGAACAGAGTGAGAAAAGGCAAAGAGGTAATTTAACACAGTCTTTTTCTGCTAAAATCAGAGTGTCTCTCATCTCTGCCTGAATCCAATACATTGTGATTACTGAAATACATATTATAGAATATCTACTTATTTTGTGGATTTAGGCAACGATTATGATTGTTGCTTTTCTCACATCTAAAAATCAAATTTATATTATACATGAAGACATTTTCTAAAGAACTTTTGGTCTGTATAAAAATGAATACTTAATAGAAACGTAATATTATTTTATGTTATTTGAATTGTTAAGTTTAAGAAAATAAAATGTTTTTAAATCTATTACTTTTAACAACACTGTAACATTTATTGGTTTTGGAATAAAATAGATCCAGAAAATTGCTGTGATATTACTTTTTATGTTTCTTATTGAAAGTAGGTCAATTAATTTCTAAGCAATGGGGCATTATAATTGTCAACTAACAGTGCTCAAGCAGTTAGGATTTTAACTGCTGACACTATTTTCTTTGAAAAATGATAGATGTCATTTAGTGTTTAAAGATAAATTGCTGCATAACAGTGACTTTTTTGCTGATAACTTTGCCATAAGCAAACATAACATGACCAAGAAGTTTCAAAGTGAGTTTTCTAGGCGAGCAAATCTAAATTAAAAAGGCTCTCATATTTCCTCAATCAGATATACTAACATCAACCAAGTGTTGTTTTCAATCTATAATATGAAAGGGCAATTGAGTCTGACTCAAACATCTGAAAAAGTTAATGTTAACACTTAGGAATATGTCTCCCTGTAGGAAAATTTTCACTGGCCGTGGGCTATACCACATTTATCACAGGTGATTTTCAAGGGGACAAATATTGCCCATTTCAGAAACAGGTTTGGAATGCAGGAAACTGCCAGAAAGTAACTGTGAGAGTTTGCACCATGGCTGACCTGGAGGAAGATGCCAGAGTCACAGATGGAAAAGGGAGGTGCATGACTCCCCTCTGTTGCCAAGGTTCCCATTCTCAATTCAGAAGGGTTTGCGGAGGGGGTGAAGGAACATTGAAGTTTCTGAGATATTCCTTAAGGACCAAGCTATAATTCACAGCTATCTATTTACATCAGATCTCAGCTTTTTTTTTTTTTTTTTTTTTTTTTTTTTGAGGAGGGTGCAGGAGGAGATGTGCGCAGAACATATATATACGGCTTGCCCTAAAGGATGAAATAAAATTGTGTATGCTATGACCTCTCTAGGAAGCCTCTAAACTTTTCTTATAAATTGTCTTCTAACTAAAATATTTCTTTTGGCCGTCCTTGGAGTACTCCCAGGTGACACACAGCTCGGGCTAACATTTCTACAGGACTGCTACCTTGATCTCTAGAGAGTCCAATGATGTTCCATACCAATATGTCTCAGCGTCACTGCCGAGCTTCCACCCACACCCTTAACACACAGAGAAAGCTGACACTTTCTGTTAGCTATAATTTTCCTTGAGAAAAACGTGGCAATATGTAGCAAAATACAATTATTAGTTTCAATATGTAGAACGTATTACAAGAAAAAAAAGATGCCAAAAACATCTTATGTCTACTGCTATTCCTATTAGTCTTTATTATCATGAAAAACTGGTCGCATCCTAAATATCCAACTTTCGGTGACTGGGTGAAGGAAAACTGTAATTTTTCCATATGATAGAATAGTATGCCAGCACTAACAACCAGATAGCAGACTATTTAATGTCATGGTAAAGTATTTGTTTTGTGTGGTCAGGTGAGCAGTTCAGATCATAAAATCAAATGTACCCTATGATCTTATTTTTTGAAGTAAAGTACTGATGTATTTATATGTATAATTAAGTATAGAGAAAAGCCTAGATGGCTTCTCTTATAAGTCTTTTCATTGTTTTATAAATGGTATCAATATTTATTTTTCACTTTTTCCATCAGATTTCCTAGAATAATAAAATTCAATTCCCTCTGATGAGCATTCATTATTCTTTTTTTTTTTTTTTTTTTTGAGACGGAGTCTCACTCTGTCTGCTAGAGCTAGAGTGCAGTGGCCTGATCTCAGCTCACTGCAGCCTCCGCCTCCTGGGTCATTATTCTTACAGTAAGAAAAAATGAATGTTACTAAGTATCTTCTCTGTCCTAGATCAACTAGGTATATACAAGGTGCCAAATACATTTAATAAAATGTTTTATTCATTCATAGCTTTTTGCAGTACAATTTTTTTTGTATGATTCCCTTGTCCTATCATCTCCACCAATAGTTTTGGTGTGAATTTATACTCTAAAGGAAAGGTGACAACCTTATACAATCTCAGGGCTTAAATACTATCCACGTGCTGATGCTTACAAACATACACCTCCAGTTGTGTGGTCTCCCTGAGTTCTGCACATCCCTCTTGGGCATCTAACAAGCATCTCACAGTTAACAAAACCACTGATTTCTAATCAATCCCAGGGACCCTCCGCCAGGCCTGCTCCTCTCTCAGAATTCCTTTTCTCACTTAGTGACACTATCATCCCACCAAACCTCGCTATCATCTTTCTTCCGTCTCCCAAATTTCCAATCCATTAACAAATCCCAAAAACCCCGCTTCCAATATTTGTCTAAATCTATGCACTTCTCAGCTTATCCACTCTTATTATTCTAGCTCCAATTATGTGGCCTTCTGTCTGTGTTACTTTCTTTTTTCCATTCTTGTACGCAGGGTCCAGTTTTCATAGTGAAGTCCTCATAAAACATGTATTAAATTGTATCAGCTTCTGCTTACAGTTATTTATTTATTTATTAAATTTGTGATGTATTTTTATTTATTTATTTATTTTGAGAAGGAGTCTTGCTCTGTCATCCAGGCTGGAGTGCAGTGGCGCGATCTTGGCTCACTGCAGGCTCCGACTCCTGGGTTCAAGCGATTCTCCTTCCTCAGCCTCCTCAGTAGCTGGCATTACAGGCACGCTCCACCGTGCTCAGCTAATTTTTGTATTTTTAGAAGAGATGGGGTTTCACCATGTTGGCCAGGCTGGTCTCAAACTCCTGACTTAAGGTGATCCACCCACCTCAGCCTCCCAAAGTGCTGAGATTACAGGCATGAGCCACTGCGCGCAGCTAGTTTCTGCTTACAGTTTTAAAATGACTTCTTAGTCTATTTAGGAGAAAATATAAACTCTTTACCAGAGCCTACTGGACTCCCCAAAACATGATGTATGTTTATCTCCTCCCTTTAACTCACTCTGTTTTAGCCACCTGGCCTTCTGTTCTCTGAATAAAATAAACTTATTCCTGCCACAGGGCCTTTACACCTACTTTGCCTTCTGCCCCAGACACAGTTCTCACAGGTTTTCCCATGACTCCTTTCTTCTCCTTATTCAGCATCAACCCAAACATCTGCCCCTGAGTGGCCTTCACCAGCACACTCTTCTTAAATATCTTTCCTTACCTCACCTTGTTTGGTTTTGTGCATAACATGTGTCAGCTACAATACTGGTTTCATTGGTTTGTTTATTTACTTTTTTCTTACAATGGAAAGCCCATGAGAGCAGGGTTGTGTCTGCTTTATTCACAACTTTAACCTCAGTGCCTGTACAGAACCAGGACCGTACTAGAAACTCAGTGAGCATTTGTTGAGTATCTTGAACGAATTAATTATTAAAACATTAAAAAGTGACATTTTCCAAGTAAAAATCTTTATCTACTTCCTTAGTGACTCTAATTGCAGACAATGCAAGGTAGAAATGAGGTTCAGATCAATGGCAGGCCGAGAAAGGCATTTTTGGGTGAGTCCATGCAGGCAATGTTTGCTATTGTGGCTGATTTACTTCCATATACTTTAACACAGGTATGTCCCTATTGTGAGACACGGCATTTTTCATAGTATAAAGGTGGAAAGCGAACTTCATGTTATAATAAAAAATAAAGTAAATTTTATACAAACACTAAGAAGTGATCATCTAAATCTACAGTTTAGAATCTGAAACCTATTCCTATGTTGACATCTTCCATGGCCCTACTCCTTAATTAATAAATTCTGACTTACAGAAGGCTATTTTCTGAATCCTTTCATAGCTGACATTGTGGTGGGTGCTGTTAGCCATCCCTTGATACTGACAGCACAATGGCCATCCCTGCCAGGGCACGCGTACACCATCAGTAGTCAAAAGTTTGGCAAAGTAGGCCGGGCGCCGTGGCTCACGCCTGTAATCGGCACTTTGGGAGGCCGAGGCAGGTGGATCACCTGAGGTCGGGAGTTCGAGACCAGCCTGAGCAACATGGAGAAACCCTGTCTCTACTAAAAATACAAAAAAAATTAGCCGGGCTGTGGTGGCACGTGCCTGTAATCCCAGCTGCTCTGGAGGCTGAGGCAGGAGAATCTCTTGAATCCGGGAGGCGGAGGTTGCAGCGAGCCGAGATCGCGCCATTGCACTCCAGCCTGGGCAACAAGAGGGAAACTCTGTCTCAAAAAAAAAAAAAAAAAAAAAAAAAAAAAAAAAAAAAATTGGCAAAGTAAAACACTTCTCTTCATCTCCAGGAGAGCAGTTCATGAAAGAGCATATTCTTAGATATTAAAGGTAAATTTTCAGTGACACCTGTGCAAGATATGACTTTCTGCTGTCCTCTATAAAAATCTACATTTCTATCATATAAATCTAGCAGATCTTAAAATGATAGACCTCAAAGGTAGCACTGCATTTGATATTCTCTTGCAACCCCAGAATGAAACTTAAGCATGAATAATTGGAGATCTGCACACTCCTATAAAGAATAAAGAATGGGACTCAAGTTCACACAGAAGCTAAAAAAGAAAGGCAGGATGACTTCCCTCTGCCACCTTGAAAAGGCTTTGAAACCTACGAAACAAGAAATGGGGAGGGGGGTTGCTGAATGGGTAATAAATATATGAGCCCTCCTCCTAAGGGTTTTTATAATCCTTTCTATCTTGGGTATCTATGTGTTCCTCTGTGAATGTGTTTTCTTATAACTGCACTTCTCATGGAACAGCTCTATCCTTATTATCTGTAACAGGGTTTCTGTTCTGCTTTCATCATGTATATATCTTAGAAAAACAATCTGAACAAATGTCCAGTTAATATGTATATTTATGTATTTATAAATTATATGTATATGCTATTGCACTAATACATTACATATTTTATATACCTTACTACAACCAAAGAAATATAAAAGAATGAGATGGAATAAATATATATTTAAGTTCTAGTTTTTCTTCCTCCATCCTCTGTGGAATGCTTACCCCACTTAAGAAACCCCTAAGATTTCACTGTGTCCTCACAGTGAGATTGTACTCACTCCTCAATGAGAGAACATTAATATTAAAGCTCTTTTGGTTTTATTATCAATTATGCGGTCGAATTTTCAAATAATCTAGCTGTACATATTATACTACAGTGGACGATACTGTGAGGTACCAACTGGACCAGCTCAGCAGAGGCTGGAAGGTTTAACTCATCAGTAGTCATGATACCACTTTTCTCTTAGACTTTTCCAGTAGAATTTATTTTTGGTTTTGCCAGCCAGGGTGAGAGCTGTTTTCTATAGGTATCAATGGTAGAATAAGCATTGTTGCCTCACAGAAGGGAGAAGTCTATGGTATTGGACACCAACCCCCAAGTCCTTCTTACATATCCTCTCCTTGAGAGATAGGGACTCGTGAAAAATGGAAACCCAGGAATTGGCTCTGCATAAACTTAAGCTTTGTCTTTGCAGAACAATTATGAGAAGCCTACTACTGACTCTGGAATATGTTGTATGCAATAAAAACTCTGTACTATTTAGGTATTGTTTCTGATGCACGATACTAGAAATAAGCATCAACTAGCCATGCAAAGTTCTGCTTAGGAAAAATGAAAGTATATTCAAATATAAATTTTTATAAAATGACTATTAACTAAAAAAAAAAATAGCCTTTCTTTCCCCAAACATCAATAGATGCAGAATGCAGAGTAATATTTACAACATGCAACATCATGTTTGGTTCTAATTAATAGACTATTTCAATGAAATATTATTTTGATAAATATGTTCATGCTTCATTTGTCATGTATTAAAAACAGCAATACACACTCACTTGATGAAAAATATTATTGAAGATAAAACAGAAGTATTTCATAAACAACCATTAGGTAGATTATAAGATAACATATAAAAGGTGATATAGGAAATAAATATTAGAAGTACATATTATTCATCTATGACCTAATTTGTATTGAAATGCTGCAAAAACCTTCATAGCAACATTCAGAGAATTACCTGAAAGAAAACTCTGGCATCTTCTATGGTCTTCTATGTGTTTTCTTTAATGGTCACAGTGATTCCCACGTTCAAACTTATTCACTGAAGACAATGCATGTCCTGAGATTCTCATTATTGAAATGCTGAGGCTGAGGCTTGCTTTTCACATATACAGATTGTCCAACATTAAAATACCACTGCATATTGACTGCATACAAAAATCATTAAACTAAATATTCCCAAAAGTCCTGATACAAATAATGTGTTACAATATTTTAGGCAGGATTACCTGATAGGGTTAACAAATTTATCAAGTATAACAGAAAGTGACCACTTATTATTTATTATTGGCTATACCAAAAAATATAGGATCAGGACTTACCTGAATAACATGCTTCAGTTTATCAATAATCTGATTTATCACAGGATCAGTTCCTTTGACTTTGACTTCAGGATTTCCAGACTGGGCTTTGATTCCATTTCCAACCACATGCTGAGTATAACTAGCAAAGGGAAATGTGAAAGATATATGACTTAGTACCTGATCAGAGTATTATCTGCCACAGCTATCTGAACATAGTTGAGGTCAGAATTTCCTCCTTTAGAGAATACACCAATGTATTTTTTTCTTGGAACAGAAACTGGCACAGCTATAATGCTTTTGCAGGTAAAATGCTAAAATGCTTATTGTGCCATTAGATCATTCTAAAAATAATGTTATTCTCTCAATGGACCCAACCAAAAATTACTTGTTTTTTAATACTACTTAACAATATGCTACAAAGAGTTGACATATCTCACTTTGTTACCAGTTCTTGCTGAATTATACATATGTCTGTACCCCTATTGTCTGGGTGAGCTTATTTTACGCAGTCCCAATCTTATTTTTTAAATATCAGGCTACTATATATGTGTGTGTGTGTGTGTGTATATATATATAGAATATGTATAGAGAATATATATAGGATACACATATAGAATATATATAGACTATATAGAATATACATATAGACTATATAGGATATATATAGAATATACATAGACTATATAGGATATATATAGAATATACATAGACTATATAGGATATATATAGAATATACATAGACTATATAGGATATATATAGAATATACATAGACTATATAGGATATATATAGAATATACATAGACTATATAGGATATATATAGAATATACATAGACTATATAGGATATATATAGAATATACATAGACTATATAGGATATATATAGAATATACATAGACTATATAGGATATATATAGAATATATATAGACTATATAAGATATATAGAGTATATAGACTATATATAGGATATAGATAGAATATATATAGACTATATACAGGATATCGATAGAATATATATAGACTATATATAGGATATAGATAGAATATATATAGACTATATATAGGATATAGATAGACTATATATAGGATATAGATAGAATATAGATAGACTATATATAGAATATATGTAGAATATAGATATAGAATATAGATATAGAATATATATGGAATATAGATATAGGATATATATAGATAGAATATAGATATACACACACATATATATTTCCTAATTAGGTCCTTCAAGAAATAAGTGATTAAACTTTTTAATAATGATAGTATCAATTGGACATGATAACAATAATATTATTAATAAACTCTTTGATTTTTAAAATAAACTTGAACCCATTTCTTTTCATAGTCATAGAGGGGCTTAGAGATAAGAATTTCAGTATCCATTAGGGATTTGCAGTATACACCAGTAACAAATAGTAGAAAGAAAACAGTTATATCTATTTTGTTAATGTGTAATGATATTCTTTACTTTAGAAAATAAAATTATATATAGTATAACTATATATAATATATAATATATATTATATGTAAAATATATATAACTGTACAAGTCAATATCATAAATTATAACTGTACAAATTAAAATCATCAAATTTATAAGCAACGAAAATGTGCGAAGTATTTCCTAAGTAGAGGAAACAATCTGCTTTCGCCTAGGTTCACCTAAACAAAGATCTGGTAAATCATGTGGTAGGTAAAAAGGGTCATTTCACAGGTGGTGAAAGCCATTTGAAATTTCACTACCTTCCCCAAATTACAATCATACGTCAACTTAGAATTAATAAAAATATTTAAATTCATTAGTCACAAAGATGTCTTAAGTGAATGCTATATTCCAAGTCCTGTACTAGGTCTTTAGGATTATAAGAAGGTGTAAGACTCAATTTTTGTCCTCATAATGCTCATTACTTAACCAAGAATATAACAGATTAATTAACTCATTCATTTGTATGCTTATTCATTACATTTTACTACATTTAAAAAATACCGTAGATTTCAGCCATATAAATACCCTTGTTTGCCTGACAGAAGAGTGTAATATAAACACAACTGAACCGTTAAAATACAACATTATGAAAGTAGATGGAAGGAACTGCACGTGCCACGTGTGAGGAAAGATAAGACAGGTGGTAGATATTCTGGATATAGAGAAGCCCATTTGAACTCAGACACTAGGGAAAAACTAAAGGAGAAGTTATAACTTGAGGTAGCCTTGGATGTATTGAGGTAAGAAGAGGACATCTATGGTATGGTTAATGAGAACTTCAGGGCAAAGGATGTCATCCCAGCAAGGAAAACGGCAAAGGTACGTGAACAAGGCAGACAGGGAGAACAGGCCTCTATTCACAAAGCAGAGAGTACAAACGTTGGAAAGCAATGGATAGAGGGCCACACCCTGAAGATTCCACCCTGAATGTTGAAGACTCTCCACTGAGTGATATAATGGGCTCTGGAAATTCATAAGGGGGAAGTTGGCAGGTGGGTGTGGAATAAAAAAGCTACATGTTTGGTACAATGTACACTACTCAGGTGACAGGTGCAATAAAATCTCAGACTTCACCACTATACAAATTATCCATGTTACCTAAACCACTTGTGCTCCAAAAGCTATTGAAGTAAGACATTTATTTATTTATTTATTTATTTATTTATTTATTTATGTTTATTTATTTATTTTTTTGAGACGGAGTCTGGCTCTGTCGCCCAGGCTGGAATGCAGTGGCGCAATCTCGGCTCACTGCAAGCTCCGCCTCCCGGGTTCACGCCATTCTCCTGCCTTAGCCTCCCGAGTAGCTGGGACTACAGGCTCCCGCCAGTACGCCCGGCTAATTTTTGTATTTTTAGTAGAGACGGGGTTTCACTGTGTTAGCCAGGATGGTCTCGATCTCCTGACCTCATGATCCGCCCGCCTTGGCCTCCCAAAGTGCTGCGATTACACGCTTGAGCCACCGCGCCCGGCCAAGACATTTAAAAAATGAAAACAAAACACTATCACCTGAGTAATTTGTTTGCTTACATTAAATATCATAATACTTTTCAGCAAAAAATATTATCATTTTAATGTAACTTTCGTTCCCTGTATTTGAGCGGAGTACTGCACTATCCATAAACACCCTCTGAATTTTCTACAGTAATGGAAAAAAATCTTTGAAAAAAATAAAAGAAGGTTCTATGTTTGAGAATATGGCTATATGAAAGGGGTTTCAAGAAATATCCAGTTCTTCCCAAGACGATGTACTTCCAGTGACCAGTTTTAAGAAGTGGAACAGGCCAGGCGCGGTGGCTCATGCCTGTAATCCCAGCACTTTGGGAGTCCGAGGCGGGCAGATCACGAGGTCAGGAGATCGAGACCATCCTGGCTAACACGGTGAAACCCCGTCTCTACTAAAAATACAAAAAATTAGCCGGGCGTGGTGGCGGGCGCCTGTAGTCCCAGCTACTCGGGAGGCTGAGGCAGGAGAATGGTGTGAACCTGGGAGGCAGAGCTTGCAGTGAGCCGAGATCACCTCACTGCACTCCAGCCTAGGTGACAGAATGAGACTCTGTCTCAAAAAAAAAAAAAAACAAAAAAAGTGGATCGAATATTTCCTAACGAGGTCCTTCAAGTAATAATAAGTGATTAAACTTTTTGATAATGATAATATCAATTGGACATGATAAAAATACTATTAATAAATCTTTTGATTTAAAAACTAACCTTGTACCCACTTCTTTTGTAGGCGTGGGGGGAGCTTAGAGTTAAGTATTCCAGTATCCGTTAGGGATTTGGCAGTATACATCAATAACAAATAGTAGAAGGAAAATAATTATACCTGTGTCATATATATATATATATATATATATATATATACACACACACATAGAGAGAGAGAGAGAGAGAGAAACCATCTCTTAAATTACCTGTAGCACCACTATGTTATTCTTTACTCTCCCAATACCCCAAGTAGATTGCACATGTGACTCTTTTATTAATGTGTTGAATATTCATAATGATAATGAATAATATGAATAAATAAATTGATAAGTGCGTAACTATGAATTAGGCATTGCTTTACTCTTATCTGGAGATTTCAATTCATGATAAACATCTTTTAGTGACCATGAATAAGAAACTCATAGACCTGCATTAGAGAAATGCA
The DNA here is from genome assembly GCF_000001405.40 of Homo sapiens. Classification (NCBI taxonomy): domain Eukaryota; kingdom Metazoa; phylum Chordata; class Mammalia; order Primates; family Hominidae; genus Homo; species Homo sapiens. The sequence goes on from NW_003315943.1 coordinate 177,038, forward strand.
AATCTAAACCACAATGAGATACCATCTCACTCCAGTTAGAATGGCAGTCCTTAAAAAGTCAGGAAACAACAGATGCTGGAGAGGTTGTGGAAAAACAGGAATGCTTTTACACTATTGGTGGGAGTGTAATTTACTTCAACCATTGTGGAAGACAGTGTGTGAATTCCTCAAGGATCTAGAACTAGAAATACCATTTGACCCAGCAATCCCATTACTGGGCATATACTCAAAAGATTATAAATCATTCTACGATAAAGACACATGCACACGTATGTTTATTGTGGCACTATTCACAATAGCAAAGACTTGGAACCAACCCAAATGTCCATCAGTGATAGACTGGATTAAGAAAATGTGGCACATATACACCATGGAATACTATGCAGCCATAAAAAAGGACATGAGTTCATGTCCTTTGCAGGGACATGCATGAAGCTGGAAGCCATCATTCTCAGCAAACTATCACAAGATCAGAGAACCAAACGCCGCATGTTCTCACTCATAAGCAGGAGTTGAACAATGAGAACACATGGACACAGGGAGGGGATCATCACACACTGGGGCCTGTGGGGTGTGGGGGTGTAGGGGAGGGATAACATTAGGAGAAATACCTAATGTAGGTGATGGGTTGATGGGTGCAGCAAACCACCATGGCATGTGTATACCTATGAAACAAAACTGCAAGTTCCGCACATGTAACCCAGAGCTTAAAGTATAATTTAAATAAATAAATAATAAATAAATAAATAAACTCATAGACCTCAAAGTATGGGAAGCCTAACTGCCTACGGCCACTTGCTGCTTCACTCTAAAATCTGTTTCTGCATCTGCCCCTCAGTCAATGACTGAGGCCCACAGGGTGGCTAATGCAGATCCCTCTTTAGGAGACACAGGGCTTCTCTGAGGACCAGTCTTGGCTCAGGATTCCCTGAAGCCTTTTCTCACCCTTCCTTAGACTGTACATTACGCTCCAGTGCTTCCACTCAACCTTCCTTTCCTCTTTCCTTCATTCTAGGTCAGACTTGCCTCATAGCTGAGACCTCTTCCAGGCTTACTCAGCTTCCTCTCCATTTTCTCTCACAGGGATTTCCCTTAATAAAATCCTCTTGTGTTTAACTCGTTTTCAACATCTACCTCTTGGAGGACCTGGACTAACCCACCACATAATGTTTGTATTATAATTACTTCCATTCTACAGGTTGAGAATCTGGGATCTGGAGAAGTTAAGCAACTTAAGTTACTCAAGTAAGGCCACACAACGTATATAAAGTGTGCTGCAAGGAGTTAAACCCAGGGAACGCACACTCCAAAACAGAACCATCAACAAGTACCAATCCTGAAACCAACTAATAAAAGGTAAAGATACAATTAGCTTGGTGCAAAATGTTATTTTTCTCTCTAATTACATTTTCTAAGGTTTCACTGTTTGTGATTAAGAAGGGATGAATGATTTTCATCAAAACTCTGCTCAACAAGCCGGGTGTCGTGGCATGCACCTGTAGTCCCAGCTACTGAGGAAGCAGAGGCAGGGGGATCACGTGAGCCCAGGAGGTTAAGGCTGCAGTGAGCTGTGATTACATCTCGTTGACCACGTGACCCTGAGTGTAACTCATAGACCTCAAGCCTGGGCAACAGAGCAAGACTCTGCCTTAAAAAGTAAAACTAAGCAAAACAAAACAATCCTGAACAAATGGTTGCACATAACCAGCTAAACAGTAATATAACAGTTGTTGGCAGGGTGAGAAGAAACTAGCAGACTGTAGGTTTGTCATACTGTTTTTTTGTTTCTCCAGAAACACAGATATAATATAGGCAATGAAAGCTGAGACTCATCTCTTAATTTCAGTTAAGCTATTAATTGATTTACATCATTTACTTACAGGTCAGAAAAGTTCCTTTCAAAAGGCAGGAATGTTGTTTCATGTTAATCTAAGGACTTGCTTACCTTTTGTTTCTGTTCTTAATGATCACAGTTACTAATACAGTTAAATAATATTTAGATAAAATACATTACAATTATAGCTGATCAAAAATCTCATTCCAAGCTGTTATATTGTTGACTATCTCATGATCACTCTTCTTATGAATCATGTAAATAGGGAAAAATACTGCAAAGTAGACCCACGTTACTTCAAATGAAATATGATTTAATAAAATCAGTTATTCTTTGCCAATTTTGTAATGTTCAAAATAACCACAATTGAAATAGTGATACATACACATCAGAACAGTTCAAATGAAAAAGAGAAATGATACCAAGTGTTGGCAAAGATGCGGAGCAACTAGAACTCTCTCCCATTGTGGATGGAAATGTAAACTGATGGACACCACCATTTTCCATGTATGCTAAATCTGACCATATTCTATGACCCTGAGCATATACCCAGCAATATTTACCAAAAGACAAATACATGAATGCTCAGAGAGGCACCATTCAAAATAACCACAAATTGAACTTATATTTGTATAATGATATAGTATATAGCAATGAGAACCTAACAAATTACAACTATATGCAAAAAGATTAACAAATCTTATAAACTAAATATTGAATGAAAGAAGCAAGATACAGAACATATTCTACGATCTAATTCACTAAAAATTGTAAAACTCATCAGTTATGTTCCAAATCACCATAAGAGCGATCCTATGAAATAGTGTCTAGAAGAAGTAATAATATAAAATTTCCTGACTTGAGTACTGGATACACAGAAGGGCTAAGTTTGTTTAAAAACAAAAGAAGTATTGAGCTGTACAGTTAAGATTTGGGTATTTTACTGTTTGTATGTATTTTCAGCGTTAGAAAATTATGTTAAAAAGTCTTTATGCTCTTTTTCTTAATATATTTACAATAGACAAATTTTCATTAAGCCACAGTATAAATAAAAAAGACCCACACAGGTATTTTTAACATGGATGAAGTGGTTCTGTCATCATTAAATGAGTACTTTAGGATGCAAGTCTGATATAAAAACTTACTTCCCTGAAGACTTTAATTTTGCATGCAAAATACACGGTTTCTAAATTAAATTTTTTTGTAACAAAGCGTTTTTGAGTTCCCCTCATGGAATTTTAATAAATCATTAATTTCTTCTTTTTCTCTTTCATGCACAAGCAGTGGATAAACATTTCAAAGATCCCTACAGAAGTTTCTTCCCTTGAAATACTGTTCACATGACAATGAGAAGGATGGAATAAAACACAAAAAAGGTAAGCAATTTTTTTTTTTTGAGGCGGAGTCTTGCTCTGTCGCCCAGGCTGGAGTGCAGTGGCGCGATCTCTGCTCACTGCAAGCTCCGCCTCCCGGGTTCCCGTCATTCTCCTGCCTCAGCCTTCGAAGTAGCTGGGACTACAGGCGTCCGCCACCGTGCCCAGCTAATTTTTTGTATTTTTAGTGGAGACGGGGTTTCACCGTGTTAGCCAGGATGGTCTCCATCTCCTGACCTTGTGATCTGCCCGCCTCCGTCTCCCAAAGTGCTGGGATTACAGGCTTGAGCCACTGCGCCCGGCCAACAGGCAAATTTTTCGTTGGGGAAGTAGTAGACCAACCATCTGTGCTTATTTCTTCTAAACAGAGCTGGGAATGAGTGACAGCAGTTGAACAGGAACACTTGCTCCCCAAGCACTACTTGTTTTTCATGAAGAAGGAAAAAAGGCAAAAGCCCTGCTACATTTACATTCGCAAAATTGTTTTCAAATGAGGATTAACAAGATGTTAGTTCCCTCTCTGTTGAACACATAAAATATTAAAAGGCAGTGCTAATACATCTATATACAGCACATCAGGAGGAAGGAGGAAGTCATTTCTCCTGACTTTACCAACTTGTCTTATTTGAAACTGATACCGTGCCCTATTGGCTGATAGGAGTTTCACTTTATTTAGAATACAATAGAATTTGGCTCAGATTCACACCAAAAGTATAGTATTTTGATGTGCACTTACACGATTTCAGGGGAAAACAATATCTGGAATGTGACCCTGGAATTCATTACAAGTCAGTTAAAGGGATCTCTCTTAGAATTTTTTCATAATTGGACTGGGACAGGATGTAAGAATAAATCATTAACAGTAGATGAGGAAAACACTTGACGAGAGCTTTCTCGTCTTACCATTACTGCTCTTTCTATCAGAGGTTAAAGACAGAATGGGGACCATGTTGTGGTTGTTATTCTTGTTGTTTGATTGGTTTGTTTATTATGTTCTTGCAGGACTTGGTTATGTGGCTGGATATGAAAATTCTTTCCATTTCCAGAGTCATAAATCTCCTAATTTCTAGGAGATTAAATACTGGTTTTATCTTTGGCTCCAGTAAAAATGTTGCTATCTTGGATTAAAAGAAGGTTGGGAAATACGTTGTGTCTATTCACCAGTGAATGGGAACCCCTTCTACAACAACAAATTTTCCATTCAAACCATTTCTAGGCCTCCCTTCCTGGTTCTGATAGCAAATGTGAAAGCAAGTACTAGAGATTTGGGTTTTGTAAGTTTCCTCAAATACTTGGGAAATACTGGATTCCGTTGCCAAGTGTTGCCTTTTGTACATTCAGCTTCTACACAGCACGTTTTCTCTATGTTGAAAGTCCTAATCCTTGAAATCTCAGAATGGAAAAGAGTTATATGACTAATTTTATGTGCCAGGATTATGGGAATAAACTTTCATGGAAGATAGGAAGCTTACAGGGCATTTAGAGAAAGGAGACATCTGTAGAATCAATTCAGAATGATTAAGCCCCTTGTGATCTCACTATCTCACTTCAATTGTTAAGCCACAAAACTCTTTTTAAGTTAATCTCTAACATTTATTTGGCTTTATAATTACATATAAATAATGTCTAAATTTGACACCTATGTTTCCAAACTTAATAATGAAGTCAAAATAAACAGAATTAAGGAGAGCTTATTACGATCTTTATTGTTATTTATATATAACAAATTTCCTATTGAGAATATAATATTTTATGATATCTTATGGATGTCATTAACATTGCTTTAATAAAGGTATTATCATGCTTTGTACAGCAACCAACACGAAAATGTTACTATACCACTGCAATAGATAGAATAAAAACATGTTCAGAAAGACTTAGAAACTCATTAAAGAATGGACGTTAATCACTTTTCACCCTAACTCCTCATTTGGCAAGGCATGAATCTATGCATTCCAGTTTAGACAGGTGGCAAGTAAGTAGTCTCATTGCATTTCATAAAATAAGCAGCTGCGTGAATTTGAAAGATACTATTTCCACATGAAAAGCTAATGACTGCACATGTAAAATCAGTAGTGTTTAGGAAGCTGTCATTTAAAAAACAACAAACTACCTAATTAAAAAGTAGCACAAATGAACTTTTGCCTACGTAAAAAATAGAACATTGCTTAGCCTTTTCTTAAACCCCTCCCCAATTCTTACCAAGAAAGGATAAATACCTTTATTATAGTCAAAGCTCTGTTTTTATGGTTTTTGAATTTTTTAATCTAAAATTCAAAGCAAATAATCAATCTTTAATTTATATTTATCCCAATTTGATTCGAAGTGACGGTCCAAAAGTAAAATGATCAATTATAACTATAATCAATCACAAATAATGCTATGTGAGTTTGAAATGTTAATCTAAGTTGCCTTTTCCAGGTATGCATTTTAAAATTAAACTCTTCTCAGTAAGATCAAGGCTATCCTTCATGGATTTATGATGTTTGATAATCACCACGTTGTACTGATTTGCTGTCTCACTTCACTGTTTGATATCAACATATGAAAGTAAAAATGCTATTTAGGGGATAACTATTATCTGAGCACTAATAAATTAAATGCTATTTTAAGCCAACAACAAAATTGTTTAGGGTACAATTTTTATTTAACCAACTGTCCATTATAAACATTATAAAATTCTGAAAGATCCTAGAATCTTATATAGCTTTTTTGTATTTTTTCAAATGTAATTGACACCAGCATGAATTAAATTTCATATTTAAAAAGCTTCAGACTACATTACAACATACTTTAAAATTACTTGCAAGATATGATAATTCTAAGATTACCCACATATCATGCAACTGAAACAGCCAGGTACTTCCTACCAACACATGATACAATAAAATCCAGAAGAACTTCTGAATTAGAGTGTAGTAGTTGCCTAGGGCCATCATACCTAATTATCACACACTTGGTGGGTTAAGAGGACAGAAATATATTCTCTCATAGTTCTGAAGCCTGGACCTCTGAAATCAAGATGTTGGCGGGGCCACACTCCCCCTGAAGACCCTAGGGAAGAATTCTCCCTCGCTTCTTCCTGGCTTCCAGTGGCTCCTGGCAATCCTTGACCTTCTTTGATTTATGACTGCATAACTCCAATTTCTGTCTCCATCTTCACATGACCTTGTGTGTGTCTTTTCCTGTATGTTATAAGGACATTTACACTGGATTTAGGGCCCACCTTCACCCAGGATGACCTCATCTCAATCACTGGGTTAATTATATCTGCAAAGACCCTACTTCCAAATAAAATCACATTCTAAAGTTCCTAATGGACATAAATTTTGGAGGTACGGTATTTAAATCACTACACAGAACATGTAAAGACAAAAATCTGGAAGCTACCTGAATGAAAATGGATATTCCCTTGAACTTCGACAAAATCATATTCTATTTTTCCATGAGAAACATTTTATTACTCTAAAACAATATTCATATTTCACAAGTACACCTCTTAAATTATAGCTTGGACTTAAGAAAAATAATTAGCTTTGGAAATTATCAGTACATGATATCTAGTATTTCCTATATTTTTAAGAACTTCTACCTCCTAGCAAAAATAAACAATGCAATGGATAATTTCTGTGTTCTAAATTCACACACACAAACAGGAAAGGGACTTTAAAAATGATGTGTTCTCTTTTAAAGCAGAAGCCCAACCACCTGCTCTGAATCTAAAAGTTTCCTGAAAGCAATGAAGGGCTAGTTTATTATGAAGGTGTTGATAGCTGATTCTGTGGAGACTCACACAGAAACAAAGAATAAATTTTAATCACACTTAATGCTAATGTGGTAGTAAGGTTGTGACAATATTCAAATATGACTAATTTCATTGAATTAACTACACTCGGGCTTAGCTTAGTTGTCCAAATTTATTACAAATAGCTCAAACTAAATAACTCAACTCTTCTGTTTTCTATTTATTTTTTGTTGATGCTTAAGAGTAAAAAGATATTTCAACTGAATTTTTTTTTTTTTTTTTTAGCAATCAGTTCTCTTGTTTTATCACCATAAGACTGTAAACGGCCGTAACAGGTCACTGAATCTAGCACTGCCTTCAACAAGAAATGCACCTAGAGCAGGAATATAGTACTTGGCACTCATCTCTAGACCTATAACCTAACAGATTTTTTTTTTGTCTGTCTTTGGTGAAAGTAACGTAAATTTAGAGCTGGAAAGGACCTTAGAGGTCATCTAGTCCCACCCAAGCATCTTTGAAAACAAAATAAAGAAGTGTGTTGGCCTGATGCGGTGGCTCACGCCTGTAATCCCAGCACTTTGGGAGGCCAAGGCGGGCAGATCACAAGGTCAGGAGATCGAGACCATCCTGCCTAACATGGTGAAACCCCGTCTCTACTAAAAATACAAAAAATTAGCCGGACATGGTGGCAGGTGCCTGTAGTCCCAGCTACTCGCGAGGCTGAGGCCGGAGAATGGAGTGAACCCAGGAGGCAGAGCTTGCAGTGAGCCGAGATCGTGCCACTGCACTCCAGTCTGGGCAATAGAGTGAGACTCCGTCTTAAAAAAAAAAAAAAAAAGAAGCATGTTTATTTCATCATTTTGTACTTATACACTGTGTATTTCCAGAAAAGCCCCTGAGACAGCTTAGAATGAAAGGCACAGACACTATAAAACAAGGGCAAAATGACAGAATAATGAAGAGAAAGAGGTGACAATTACATGGGACAACCTAGGGAAGGAAACACTACCCTTCAGCCTAAAATTTAGTCCTAAGCCCCTTGTTCTTAAAGGCCAAAAGGAAAACCAGAATTCAAATAGGTATTGTTAGTTAATAAAATAGTATCTGGATATATCAGCAACTATTTTTTGGTAACTCTAAACTCAAGCAAAATATATGTCTTCAAGCAACAGACAATGGACAATATAATAAAAATAATCTTCCATAGCAATTTCCAAACTTTTAAAGATGTAAGAACAAATGATCTTTTCTTACAGGATGCTTAGTTGAAAGCTGCCCGCATGATGGTATTTTAAACTACATGATGTTAAATTCCCTGCATGATGGTATTTTATTGGGACCTGGTTATATGATTTGGTGAAGAATGTAACCTTTGAGAACTTAGAAGAGTGAATGGTTAATATTTCTCTGAATTTTTTTGTTTTTAATTGATATTTTATTTTATCCCTCATAGACAATATATGCCTGGGAAATACACTGAAGTATAGTAAAAAAGAATCTAAGGGTTAAAGTGTTGAGGTAAATGAGAAAGCAGAGGTTGTGTCTGAAGAACCGTGTGGTCGCACTGCACCACACAGCAAACAGAAATATGGGTGAGCACAGGCCGGGCGCGGTGGCTCAGGCCTGTAATCCCAGTACTTTGGGAGGCCGAGGAGGGCGGATCACGAGGTCAGGAGATCGAGACCATCCTGGCTAACACGGTGAAACCCCGTCTCTACTAAAAATACAAAAAATTAGCCGGGCCTGGTGGTGGGCGCCTATAGTCCCAGCTACTTGGGAGGCTGAGGCAGGAGAATGGCGTGAACCCGGGAGGCGGAGCTTGCAGTGAGCCGAGATCGGGCCACACCACTCCAGCCTGGGGGACAGTGAGACTCCGTCTAAAAAAAAAAAAAAAAGAAGTTCACCCTATGCAGGCACTATAACTACGAGTCCCTCCCATCTGAGCCTTGCCTTCCAGACAACCCCACCAATACATAAGACAGAAAAAAAGCACCTTGCACCTTCCAGACTGACTTGTTTGCCAGCCGCATAGCACTGAGTCACCCTAGTTAATGATATGAGAGAGGAAGAATCACTCAGACGAATCCTGCTGGAATTTCTCACCTATAGGATCCATGAGATACAATGAAGTGGTCGTTGTTTTACCTTATTAAATTTGGGGTAGTTTCTTTTTTCTTTTTTTTTTTTCTTTTTTCTTTTTTTTTTTTGAGACGGAGTCTCACTCTGTGGCCCAAGCTGGAGTGCAGTGGCGCAATCTCGGCTCACTGCAAGCTCCGCCTCCCGGGTTCACACCATTCTCCTGCCTCAGCCTCCCGAGTAGCTGGGACTACAGTCACCCACCACCACGCCAGGCTAACTTTTGTATTTTTAGTAGAGACGGGGTTTCACCGTATTAGGCAGGATGGTCTCGATCTCCTGAACTCGTGATCCGCCCGTCTCAGCCTCCCAAACTGCTGGGATTACAGGCGTGAGCCACGGCGCCCGGGCCATTTGGGGTAGTTTCTTAAGCAGCAATAGTAACTGTAACACTGACTCACTTCTACTGCCACCAATCACTATCCTCCTTTCCTGATTTACTTCCTCGTATGTACCATCTTTTAAAAAACAAATAATTAGGCCGGGTGCAGTGGCTCACGCCTGTAATCCCAGCACTTTGGGAGGCTGAGGTGGGCGGATCACGAGGTCAGGAGATCGAGACCATCCTAGCTAATATGGTGAAACCCCGTCTCCGCTAAAAATACAAAAAATTAGCCAGGCGTGGTGACCGGGGCCTGCAGTCCCAGCTACTCGGGAGGCTGAGGCAAGAAAATGGCGTGAACCCGGGAGGCGGAGCTTGCAGTGAGCTGAGATCGCGCCACTGCACTCCAGCCTGGGCGACAGAGGGAGAGTCTGCCTCAAAATAATAATAATAATAATAATAATTAGTGAAAACTTCAATAACTTTTGCACCGGCCTAATAGTTGTAAAGAAACTATAAGCAAGTTCACAAAAGTTAAAACAAAAAATCAGCTATGAGAAACAAATATGAATTATACCACTAACTGCTGAAAAGAAAGACTCTAAGACTGAAATTACCAAAAAAAAAAAAACCCTCAGCTGAAAACAAAACAAATAATCAAACTCTATTACTCTACTCTATTTCCATGAAGTGTACAAACTGTTCCTGTAAGTTTAACGATATTAAAATGTACAAAGATTAATAAAGTAAAAATCAAAGACTATTTATAACATCATCGATTTCACATAAAGTAGAATTTTAAAGGAAAAGGTATCACATGGAAAACAATAAAATATTTAATATTACAAAGCAAAACACTAAATGAACGTCACATTTAATTGTGAAATCATTAGCATGTTTCTCCGTTATGACTTATTAAAGGATAAAATTTGAGCATTATAATGTATAAGATTTTTGGCCGGGCGCAGGGGCTCACGCCTGTAGTCCCAGCACGTTGAGAGGCTGAGGCGGGCGGATCACGAGGTCAGCAAATCCAGACCATCCTGGCTAACACGGTGAAACCCTGTCTCTACTAAAAAAATACAAAAAAATTAGCCAGGCGTGGTGGCGGGCACCTGTAGTCCCAGCTACTTGGGAGGCTGAGGAATGGCGTGAACCTGGGAGGCGGAGCTTGCAGTGAGCCCAGATTGCGGCACTGCACTCCAGCCTGGGCAAGAGAGTGAGACTCCCAATCCAAAAAAAAAAAAAAGAAAAGAAAAGAAAAGAAAAACCGACTTTCATTAAAGCCTCCTGCAGAAATTTGCATAAGTAACAAGGAGCCAAATGTAATCACCAAGACAATGGGGAAAATGTCTCCAGAACATTAAAGACCTTAACACCTTCACGGCAGCTCTTTCCATCACAGGCTCAAAAGCCTAGTATGGAAAAATGATTTCCTGGAGCAGGTCCAGGTCCCCCTGCTGTGTGCAGCCTAGAGACTTGGTGCCCGGCATTCCAGCCACTCCAGCCATGGCTGGGGTGGGAGACACCAGGCTACAGCTCAGGCCATGTCTTCAGAGGTTGCAGCCCCAAGCCTTGGCAGCTTCCACAAGATGTTGAGCCTGCAGGCGCACAGAAGTCAAGAATTGAGGTTTGGGACCCTCCACCTAGATTTCAGAGAATGTATGGAAACACTTGGATGTTCAGGCAGAAGTTTGCTCTGGTGGGGTGCGGGGGCAGGAGCAGGGGCTCATGAAGAACCTCTTCCAGGGTAGTAGAGAATTGAAATGTGGGCTCTGTCTCCCATACAGAGTCCCTACTGGGGCAATGCCTAGTGGAGCTATGAGAAGAGGGCCGCTGCCCTCCAAACCCCCAATTGGTAGATCCACAAACAGTTTACACTGTGTACCTGGAAAAGCCACAGACAATGCCAGCCAGTGAAAGCAGCCAGGAGGGAGGCTGTACCCTGCAAAGCCACAGAGGCAGAGCTGCCCAAGGCCATGGGAGACCACCACTTGCGTCAGTGTGACCTGCATGTGAGACACGGAGTCAAAGGAGATCATTTTGGAACTTTAACGTTTAATGACTGCCCTATTGGATTTCAGACTTGCATGGAACCTGTAGCCCCTTTGTTTTGACCAATGTCTCCCATTTGGAACAGGTGTAAATACACTGGGGGTACCCAATGCCTGTACCCCCATTGTATGTAGGAAGTAACTAACTTGCTTTTAGTTTTACAGGCTCATAGGTGGAAGGGACTTGTCTCAGATGAGACCTTGGACTGTGGACTTTTCAGTTAATGTTGAAACGAGTTAAAACTTTGGGGGACTGTTGGGAAGGCATGATTGATTTTGAAATGTGAGAACATGAGATTCAGGAGGCACCAGGGGAAGAATGATATGGTTTGGCTATGTCCCTACCCAAATCTCATCTTGAATTGTAGCTCCCATAATCCCCATATGTCATGAAAGGGACCCAGTGGGAGGTAACTGAATCATGGGGATGGGTTTCTCCCTGTGTTGTTCTTGTGAAACCGAATAAGTCTCACAAGTTCTGATGGTTTTATAAAGGGGAGTTCCCCTGCACATGCTCTCTCTCTTGCCTGCCACCATGTAAGACATGTCTTTGCTCCTCCTTTGCCTTCTGCCATGATTGTGAGGCTTCCCCAGCCACGTGGAACTGAGTCCATTAAACCTTTTTTTCTTTATAAATTACCCAGTCTCAGGTATTTCTTCATAGCAGTATGAAAGTGGACTAACACAGTATCAAACCCTGGTTTGGGGTAATAATCACTACCTTCTAGGTAACCAGAATGGAAAAAAATAACAGAAAAAAAATCTTAAAAATCATCCTGCGTACAAGAAAAATGAAACTGTATGCTGAATTCTCAGGGGGAGAAAACGTATTTAAAAATATATGACTTTCAAACCACAAGAAACTATAGAACATTGCTTTAAACTATTTGTCTATGAACAGTATGTAGAAACACATGGAATTTAGGAAATAGGAGATGAAGGCTACAATAACAAAAGAGGCTCATATCACAAAATGGGAGATAGCTGAGATGAGGCTTCTATGAAAACTAAAGTGCAAGGGCAGATTTTCCATCCACAGGGAAATCCGTGGAGAAAGAAACTGACACACTGAAAAGTTCAAGCAGCAATTGAATCAGAGCTCTGGAGGGCAAAAGAAGAGATGAACTAATGACAGAGAAGAAGGCGGATGGGTATGCCAGAGACCACAGGTTCCACCTCGAGAATAGTTTGTGTACTGGGGAAAGACACAAGGGCAAGGAGATCTGAAACAATAATCAAAGCTATCACTGAAGTACGAATAATAAAAGCACCAACCAGCTTCTAGGCAGGGAGGGGGAAGAAACAAGGAAGAGTTCTCCATATTTAAATAACAACTAGCCAAACTCCTGAATTTTACAAATAAAGAAAAAAACTTCCTTAAAAATAAAAAGTCAGGCTTAGATAAGACTTTTTTTCTTCTCTGTTAACATTATTAGAAGACATAAAGATTTTAAGAGAATAAAAATATGATCAAGAGGATCATAAATATCAGGTTGTCTTTACCTGAGTACGAAGCAATGGCATCTGTATATCCAGCACTGATTTGTCCTTCCAATAAAAATTTACTCAAAGACATATGGGTACATATTAGAAAAATAATCAAAATTAATATTTCAAGGATTAGGAAGTTGTGAAGCCAAAATCCTGCAAGGGGACAATTGATTCAGTTAATGGAAAGATTTATTTTTCATATTTTATGATTATTTACCAAAATAATATTTTTAAAGTATAATTATAAAATAAAAATAAAATATTTAACAATACTATAATTATAATCATGTTCCAAGTTATAAAACAAGATAGTGAGAATTGTCAGTAAGATAGTAAGAATTCTAATACTATCTCAAAATAAAGGATACAGAAGGTTTCAGGGCAAGAGAAAGGGAAAACCTTCTATATCCTTTAGTTTGAGATAGTATTAAAGCTTTCTGTAGGCTCACTCAAAATGTCCGGATTCTGACCACATTTGAATATGAGCACTCCCAACCTGACGATTCCTAGTCTAAGCCACACATATTTCCTCTTATGGTTATTGCAAAAGCTCCCTAACTGGTCTCCCAGCTTCTGCCGTTGATTCCTTTCAGCTATTTTTTACACAAGTGCCAGAGAAATCTCAGAAATGCAATTCAGATGATATCACTTCTTTGCTTATATCTTTCAATGTTGTTCCCCTCTACGTGTTCATGTATTCTCCCCTTTGACTCTCGCTTCTAAGTGGGAACATTTGGTTTTCTGTTCCTGCATTAGTTGGCTAAGGATAATGGCTTCCAGCTCCATCCATGTTCCTACAAAGGGCGTGATCTCATCTTTTATGGTGGCATAATATGCCATGGTGTATATATACCACATTTTCTTTATCCAGTCTACCATTGATGGGCATTTATGTTGATTCCATGCCTTTGCTACTGTGAATAGCGCTGCAATAAACATATGCATGCATGTGTCTTTATGACAGAACAATTTATATTCCTTTGGGTGTATACCCAGTAATAGGATTGCCGGGTCGAATGGTAGTTCTTTTAGGTGTTTGAGGAATCACCACACTGTCTTCCACAATGGCTGAACTAATTTACACTCCCACCAACAGTGTAGAAATGTTGCCTTTTCTCCACAATATTGCCAGCATGTTATTTTTTAGCTTTTTAATAATAACCATTCTGAATGGTGTGAGATAGTATCTCATTGTACTTCTGATGTGCATTTCTTTAATGATCAGTGATGCTGAGCTTTTTTTCTACGTTTGTTGGCTGCACGTATGTCTTATTTTGAAAAGGAGGGTGAAAGCTGGGAGGAGGGAGAGGATCAGGAAAAACAACTAGTGGGTAGCAGGTTTACCATGTGGGTAACAGAATAATCCGTACAACAAACCCCCATGACACAACTTTACCTACATAACAAACCTGCACGTGTACCACTGAACTTAAAAGTTAAATTTAAAAAATAAAAAATAAAAAAATCTTTCAATGGTCCCATGTCAGTTTGAGGAACAGCCAAAGTCCTTAAAATGACGTACAAGGTGCTCGTTCCATCATCCGTCTTCTCATGTTTATTTCTCTGCCACCATCTACTAATACTCTTCCCCCTTCTCATTCTACTCCAGCTATAATGGCTTCCTCGATGCTGTTCTAAGAATAAGTCCACATGATTCCGACTCAGGGCTTTTGCCCAAGCTGTGGTCTCTCTTTGGAATGCTCTTGTTTCAGCAGAGCACGATTCCTCCTCATTTCCTTCAAGTCTGTCCCCAAATGCCTTCTACCTGGTGTGTAATTGTCATGTGTGGCAGTTTTAAACATAGTCCAAAAACAGGTTGATATTCTTCTCATCAAAAAATAGGTCTATGTCTCCCTTCCCTAAATCTGGACGTGCTTGTGACTGCTACAATCAATAGAGTATGACAAATAATTCTACCTGACCTTTAAAGTGAGATAAAAAGAGACCAGGCATTTTCCACCTGGTTCCCTTGGAGTGTTTGATCTGCGGAAAGCCAGCAGCCATATAAGAAGTTTACCCTGTGCAGGCCGGGCGCGGTGGCTCAGGCCTGTAATCCCAGCACTTTGGGAGGCCAAGGCGGGTGGATCACGAGGTCAGGAGATCGAGACCATCCTGGCTAACACGGTGAAACCCAGTCTCTACTAAAAATACAAAAAATTAGCCGGGCCTGGTGGTGGGCGCCTGTAGTCCCAGCTACTCGGGAGGCTGAGGCAGGAGAATGGCGTGAACCCGGGAGGCGGAGTTTGCAGTTAGCCGAGATCGGGTCACACCACTCCAGCCTGGGGGACAGTGAGACTCCGTCTCAAAAAAAAAAGAAAAAAAAAAAAGTTTACCCTGTGCAGGCACTATAACTAAGAGTCCTTCCCATCTGAGCCTTGCCTTCCAGACAACTCCATCAATTTATAAGACAGAAAAAAAGCACCTTGCACCTTCCAGACTGACTTGTTTGCCAGCCGACTAGCACTGAGTCACCCTAGTTAATGATGTGAGAGAGGAAGAATCACTCAGATGAATCCTGCTGGAATTTCTCACCTATAGGATCCATGAGATATAATGAAGTGGTCGTTGTTTTACCTTATTAAATTTAGGGTAGTTTCTTTTTTCTTTTTCTTTTTTTAAATTTTTTTTTTTTTGAGACGGAGTCTCCCTCTGTCGCCCAGGCTGGACTGCAGTGGCGCGATCTCGGCTCACAGCAAGCTCCGCCTCCCGGGTTCACGCCATTCTCCTGCCTCAGCCTCCCGAGTAGCTGGGACTTAAGGCGCCCACCACCACCAGGCCAGGCTAACTTTTGTATTTTTAGTAGAGACAGAGTTTCACCGTATTAGGCAGGATGGTCTCGATCTCCTGAACTCATGATCCGCCCGTCTCAGCCTCCCAAACTGCTGGGATTACAGGCGTGAGCCACGGCGCCCAGGCCATTTGGGTTAGTTTCTTAAGCAGCAATAGTAACTGTAACACTGACTCACTTCTACTGCCACCAATCACTATCCACTTTTCCTGATTTACTTCTTCCTATGTACCGTCTTTTAAAAAACAAATAATTAGGCCGGGCTAAGTGGCTCACGCCTGTAATCCCAGCACTTTGGGAGGCTGAGGCGGGCGGATCACGAGGTCAGGAAATCGAGACCATCCTGGCTAACACGGTGAAACTCTGTCTCCACTAAAAATACAAAAAATTAGCTGGGCGTGGTGGTGGGTGCCTGCAGTCCCAGCTACTCGGGAAGCTGAGGCAGGAGAATGGCGTGAACCCAGGAGGCGGAGCTTGCAGTGAGCCCAGATGGCGCCACTGCACTCCAGCCTGGGCGACAGAGCGAGACTCCGTCTCAAAAAAAAATAAAAATAAAAAATAAATAAAAAAAGATTTTTAATATATATATACGAGAATATGTGAAACAGTATTTTTTCAAGTTTCCATTGAAAATTTTAAAAATAGATTATATAAAACCTCAATATATTTTTTAAAATAAAAACCACACAGGTCACATTACCTACTCAAAATTTAATTACATTAGAAATTAAGACAAAGTTAAAACAGGACAACCAGCACCCCTAGTATCACCCTCCTCAGAGTATTTAAAAATAGATTCCTTTAAATTATCTCTTTTTTTACAAGAATAAAATCTAATCAATTATTAGAAAGATAATCTCAAACTGAACTCAAAAGAAGAAGCAAAGCATCTTCAAAGTCAATAAGGGTGCTATAAATGCTTCTTGGACTCTGAAACTCTCTGACTTCCCATTCTACTCTCAGTTGTAGAAAACTCCCTGATTGTGAAGTTTTGGTGTGATTAGGTTAGGTTTACCCAGATACTCCCCCCGTCTTAAGGCTGACGGATTATTAGCCTTAGTGACATGTGCAAGACTCCTTTGCCGTGTGAGGTATCAACAGGGTAACATGAGGAAATGAAGGTCATAGGGGCTATCTTAGACTTCTTCCTGCTACAACCTCTATTCACTTATTTTGAATCCTCAGGGTTTAATGAGCTCCTACTATGTTCTAGGTCCTTGCAATAGGAGTACAGCAGTGAACAAGACAAACATGGTTCTGGTCCTTGGAGTACAAAGTAAATGCTGAAAATTTAATAAATGGGTCAGTAGATAGATAGATGTATAAAGGTCTAAATGCACATTCAGAAAATAGCAGGAGAACACTGAGACTCAGTATTATTGAATATGCTTTAAAGGCCCATGTGTCGTCTTGAATGAAAATGTTGCTCAATTTCTGATGAGGAGACTAATTCATCAATATCTGTTATCATTGACTGATGACCTCACATAATAAAAGATCTTGACTTGAGTGTACGTTAATAATCAACATAATGGGTAATGTATCAAAAGAGTATATGGAACATAATAAAAAGATATAAATTGAAATCTTAAACAGTTTTGTGCTAAAATATGTTTAGAATTGCTTGAACCCAGGAGGCGGAGGTTGCAGTGAGCTGAGATTATGCCACTACACTCCAGCCTGGGCAACAAGATCCAACCTCCGTCTCAAACAAACAAACAAACAAACAAACAGAAACAACCCAAACAAACACAAAAAGTTACTATAATTGTATCTCTTTTGACTATAGCCTGGAAGAAATCACTTTCTCCCCAACTTAAGGAAGGGGAGACTTATCTCTAGCCAAGCTTTGAGTATAAACATATAAAAAGTAATTTTCATTTTCTTGAAACTGACTGCATGAAAAGGCATATGGTGTTCCCAAAAAATGTCTGATGAGTGAGAATATTAAAATGACTAAACTGATGGGACATATTTAATTTAATATTTAAACTTGATAAAAACTAGTTAAGCATTTAACTCAAGAATTTCAAAATGGTACAGCAAAGCATACAAGCAAAATTAAAAGGAATGCTAATTACATATTAAGTTAGAAGGCAATAAATTATAAACAAAAACAGTAACAATTTATAAACATACACAAGTTCATTCTTTAACAAATAACCCATGATACAGAAAAATATAGCAAATGTGATAAAACAAAAACTGAGAAAACATAAAATTTAAAGTGAAAAAAAAACAAAACATGCAGAAATTGTTTTAAAGACAAAAAATACTATCTTAGAAAATTAAATACGTGTTTCACTAAAATAAACATGTACTGCTTAAATGAATCTTAATTTAATTTTAAAAATAGTAAATAGGTTGCAGGCATCAATTTTTGCAAGAAATGTAAAACATTATTTTAAAAATTTTTATTAAAGTCCCTATAACCAGTGTTTTTAATAAGCATCTGTTTAAAACATCTTGTAAAATGGACCCCAAACTAGGAAATATGGATAAAGTTATAAAAAGTGGCTTCCTTTCAGTTCATTTTACAAAGCAAATATAACTATTACTAACTCTTGATGAAGTGAATACAAAAAGAATAAAATTACTAAACAGTATCCCTTATAAACATAGTTAAAATATTCTTAACTGAAAGAAAAAGGAACTGAATTCTACACTTACTAAGAAATCACCCACCCCAGTGATTTGGCATACAAAGATTTAATACTAGAAAATATATATTAATATAATGCAACACAACAATAAAGCTATTTACTTTATATTGTACATTTACTGCTACAGACTAAATGTTTACATCCCTCTCAAATTCATATGTTGAAATGCTAACCGCCAATGTGAGGGTTTTTGAAGGTGGGGCTTTTGGGAACTAATTAAGTCATGAGAGAGCAGCCCTCATTAATGGGTTTAGCACCCTTCTAAAGCAGCCCCCTGAACTCCCTTGCTCCTTCCCCACTGAGGTTATAGAGAAAGGGCAGCCTTCTTTGAACTAGAACAAAAGTTTTTCCCAGACACCAGATTGGCTAGTACCTTGGTCTTAGATTTCCCAGACCCCAGAACTGTGAGAAATTCCTTTCTGTTGTTTATAAGCCACCAAGTCTATGGTATTCTGGTACAGCAGCCCATTTTTGATATTTATTTAATGATATTTAACATGCATGACTGATGAAATTTAACAAAGTAGTTATAGATATGTCCTTACCATGATTAAAAATAACTCTTAAATTGATGCATACTTTTATTATCTAGTTCTAGCCAAAGCCATAAGATGAAAACACAAATAAGAAACCACCTATATGGCACATGTATACCTATATAACAAACCTGCATGTTCCGTGCATGTATCCCAGAACTGAAAATCATATTTTAAAAAAATTTATTTATATAGAAAAAAAGAGAGCAAATGATAATATTTTTCAAAAACTGATAATTTAATTACGGTAAGTTCTGTGTGATATGTGCCTGATGTGTGTGATATGTGTCTGATGTGATATGTGTGAGATGAAAAACACTAAGGGGGTATGTGATTTTGAGCATTCACGTGCCCATAAATCCTTGTTAGAATTAAAATATCACATTAAACCTCTCTCTTTCTTTTAATGTCCATGGTTTCTTTATATGTTTTAGTAAGTGACACAGAGGAAAATACTGAGCGGACACCGTTTCTAAATTGGTAAACTGCCCTGAACTGCCACTTTACTCTTTTCTACAGCAAGTGTGGAAGATTAGAGTTCAGGCAAACATGTCATGTAAGTGGTGAAGATTCCCTTTTTCCACTGGGACAGCAGTAGAACTGAAGGGAAATCAGACAACAGCTACCTCAGCAGGAGAGCCTCAATGATGACACTTTTGCCTCAACAGTGGAAGCTGGTAGTTTCCAAAAATAGAGCTAAAAAGTGAATCAAGTTTTAAAGCACATTGAAAGTCACACGTAAAATTCATTATTACAGAAAAGCTATCAACCAATCACAGTAAATGAGTGAATTTAGAAATTAAATTTTAATATGAAAGGTTCATGTTGTCAAAACTGACTATGTTAGTCCATCTCAATGCTATAAAGGAATACCTGAGACTGGGTAATTTATAAAGAAAAGAGGAGTATTTGGGCTGATGGTCTGCAGGCTGTACAAACAGGCCACCAGTATCTGCTCAGCTTCTGCTGAGGCCCGGGAAGCTGACAATCATGGCTTAAGGCAAAGGGGGAGCTGGCATATTACATGGGGAGAGAGGGAGCAAGGGAGATGCCAGGCTCTTTTAAACAACAAGATCTCTCGTGAATTCATAGAGCAAGAACTCACTCATTACCAGGAGGACAGCACAAAACCATTCATGGGGATCCACCCTTGGGAAACAAACACCTATTACTAGGCCCACCTCCAACACTGGAGGTCGCATTTCAACATGAGATTTGGAGGGGACAAAACATCCAAACCGTATCACTAACGGAAAGTTATTGTTTAAATTTCTGTATTCAGTCCCTTGGCCTTTTTGAGAAATGCCATTCATTTCAGCCATCAAGCAAATTATTATTTGAGACATTTATACCTCTTCATCCTTTAAAAGTTTCAGAAGCATGAATTTAAAAAGTATTCATTGTAAATTTGAGGCTAGTCAAATTGATGTGGCATCTAAGTAGCACGGTGATGGGATGAGGAGACAAAGTCACGAGGGGAGGTAGGAAGAAGCAGAGAGAAAAAGAGAAATAGGAAGAGAGAAAAAGAAATGAGGAGAGAGTATAAGAAAAATAAAGAAGAAAGAGGAAAAGAAAAATGGTTTAAATGAGAGGCAAATGTCATCTGATGTTTTACCATGGGGCCATAGGGTATTTGAAGTTTCAGAAAATTCATAAGTTATTAAAAAATGTGACTCTAGGGTAGTGAGGTTATAACTTGTAAGAAAACAAGAAGTGATTCCTTTTAAGAGAACCTTCTTGGCCGGGTGCTGTGGCTCACGCCTGTAATCCCAGCACTTTGGGAGGCCGAGGCGGGTGGATCACGAGGTCAGGAGATCGAGACCATCCTGGTTAACACAGTGAAACCCCGTCTCTACTAAAGATACAAAAAATTAGCTGGGCGCCGCAGCGGGCACTTGTAGTCCCAGCTGCACGGGAGGCTGAGGCAGGAGAATGGCGTGAACCCGGGAGGCGGAGTTTGCACTGAGCAGAAATCGCGCCGCTGCACTCCAGCCTGGGGAACAATGGGGAACAAAGCAAGACTCCGTCTCAAAAAAAAAAAAAAAAAAAGAAAAGAAAAAGAGGAACTTCTTAAAGATGCGGTTGTCTTTCTTATGCTTCCTTTAGCTCTTTTTTACCTCTCCACTGATACAGATTTTTATACCAAATAGCTGGCATTAGCTAAACCAATGTCTAGGAGAACTGATCCTCACGAAGGAAAATCATAATTTATTATTTTTTTAATTCATGGCATTTATTTGTACAAGAAATATATTTCTATTTAAGAGAAAGTAGAAAACAAAGGAGAACAGAAACAACTTTTTTTTTTTTTTTTTTTTTTTTTTTTTTGAGACAGAATCTCGCTCTGTCGCCCAGGCTGGAGTGCAGTGGCACGATCTCAGCTCACTGCAAGCTCTGCCTCCCGGGTTCACGCCGTTCTCCTGCCTCAGCCTCCAGAGTAGCTGGGACTACAGGCGCCCGCCACCACGTCCGGCTAATTTTTTTGTATTTTTAGTAGAGACGTGGTTTCACTGTGTTAACCAGGATGGTCTTGACCTCCTGACCTCGTGATCCGCCCGCCTCAGCCTCCCAAAGTGCTGGGATTGCAGGCGTGAGCCACAGCGCCCGGCCGAAAAAACTTTTTAAAATTTGTTTGGGGATCTCCCATATTTGCCAAAGTAATCCCACAAAAACAATTAACATTTGACTTTGAAAATTAAGACAAAAAATACAATGATGAATATTTTCTTGTAAAAGCAAAGACAGTAAAAATATTCAGATTTAAAATAAGCCTGAGAAAAAGCATGATTTCCTTGAGCTTACCTAAGTAAACTTATTTACAAGTGACTGTATCAATAATTAGCAAAAGTAAAAGTCATTATGAAATCCTCCAAATCTTTCAAAGTACTATCTTACATTCAAGCATTGAGTTTGCCCATAAAATTATTTAAGCTCAACCTTTTCCTCAATCTCCAAAACTCTGGCGTGTAACTACACAAACACTTCAATAGGGGACAGAATCTCCTTTTATCATTCATTCTACCAAACATCAACTTCATAAGAATTAGAATCAAGTGTAATAAGAATGAACTATATAGAATCATTGATATAAATTTATAGGTGTTCAGACATAACCTTTAGACATATTTGTCAGTGTACATGTAAACAATACTCAATAACTTCTTTAATAGAGTTCTCCAGAGAAACAGAACCAATTGGATGTGGGTATATAACTCAGTTATATATTTCATCAGCTTCCTTTTTATGTAATAGAAACTAACTACAGCTAATGATGAATTTTTTTCATTCATTCATCATTAAAAGGGGAGAGAGAAATCCAGGCTGGGTTTGTGCCATTTTTATTCCCTCACAGTTCTCTTCTTGCTGCATGATTCTTCCTTTCAGATATTAACCAGAAGGAATGGTTAGCCTGACTATAGCTCTAGAGGAGCAACACAGGCTCTGGATAATGAGGATGCACAGGCTTTAATCAGTCCTAGCAGGAGGTCTTGGCTTAGACAACTATGTAGAGTTGATGGTATCCCTATAGGAAAAAAATATATATATATATGTTTTTGTGGTAGCAGGACAGAGTCAGTTTCAGACATTTGTTCAACAACTGTTGGTGTTCAACATATATTAGTATTTTGCACTAGGTACTATGTGCTAAAAGTATAGTAAGGAATAAAAATAGGGAAATAAACAAAAACAAAATAAAGAAACAGAGAAAATTCCTATTACCCTTTAGGAAAAACAACATAAAATAAAGTAACAGAATCTAGAAACAGAGAATAACAAGATAGAAGCCTACTATATACCACCATTATCAACCTGTCAAAATAAACATTGTCAGTAGTGAGACAAACTGGAATCATGTACCACCTGATAGGATGCAATGAAAAAAACGCAGCATCAATTCTGTGATATTCTTGCCAAAATGCATTGCCTGACTCTAGTCACAAGGAAACCTCAGAAAACCTAAAGGGAGCCATTCAAAAAAGAAGGAAGGGAAAAGGAAAAAGTAAGGGAAAGAGGAGAGAAGGAAGGGGAGGGGGAAGGGAAGGGGAGAGGGAAGAGAAAAAGGAAGGGGAAAGCGAAGGAGAAAGGAAAGGAGAAAAGGAAGGAGAAGCAAAGCAAAGGAAAAAAAGAAGAAAATATGGGCCAGAAATCTTGGTTAAGTTAGGTCTAAAGATCTATTCTTGATACAAGGACATTAAAAAGACATGACAATGAAAGGCAATGCATGATTCTGAACTTGATCCTTTTGCTATGAAACATTATTGGGACTATTGGTGAATTTTTTTTTTTTTTTTTTGAGACGGGGTCTCGGTCTGTCGCCCAGCCTGGAGTGCAGTGGCGCAGTCTGGGCTCACTGCAAGCCTCGCCTCCTGGGTTCACGCCATTCTCCTGCCTCAGCCTCCCGAGTAGCTGGGACTACAGGCACCCACCACCACGCCCGGCTAATTTTTTCCTTTTTTTTTTTGTATTTTTAGTAGAGACGGGGTTTCACCCTGTTAGCCAGGATGGTCTTGATCGCCTGACCTCGTGACCCATCCGCCTCGGCCTCCCAAAGTGCTGGGATTACAGGCGTGAGCCACCGTGCCCGGCTGACTATTGGTGAAATTTTAATGCGGACTTGATAATTAGATGTAGCAATATATTAATATTAATTTTCTGGTTTTGTTCGTTGTACTGTGCATGTATTGCATTTGGGGGGGCACATATATTACTGTAACAGATTTGTAATATATACAATTATATATATGTATATACATATATAGACACAATTGTGTTTGTAGAAAATATATATGAAAGCAAGGTTTTTCAACTTTGGCACTATCGCTTCTGACATTTGGGCCACATAATTCTTTGTTGGGGGCATTTCCTGTGAATTGCAGGATGTTTAGCGACTTGGTTTGCCTTTAATAACTAAATGACAGTAGCATCCTCCTCACACCTTTCCCCAGGCTAACAACTAAAAATATCTTGAGATATTATCAGATGTTTCCTGGAGGGCAAAACTCCCCCTGGTTGAGAATCAGTCTACTAAAGTATTTGGAGATGACAGAGCATCAGGTTCGTTTCTATATATTATTAAAGTATCTTTCAAAGTTGAAGGTAAAATTAAGACATTTTCGGAAAAATTAAATGGGCCAATTTGTCACCAGCAAATCTGTACTACAAAACATGCTAGCAGAAGTTTTCTGGCCTGAAGGGAAATAACGTCGAATCTAAACTCCAGATTAGAGGAAATGAAAAGCATAGAAATGGTAAGTATATGAGTAACAGGAAATACTTTTTTTTAATCTGCCGATTTTGTTGAAGGGAAACTGACTATTTAAATTTAAAAAGATATCATTTTATTGTGGGGTTTATGATGTGGACAGAAAAACTTATACTAAAAAAAATCACAAAAGACAGAGGGGGAGTAAAGGAAATGTTACCGTCATCAGTTTTTGTTGTTGTTGTTTTGGGTTTTTTTAATAGACTTTATTTTTAGGGCAGTTGTAAGCTCACAGCAAAATTGAAAGAAAGATACAAAGATTTCTCATACATCATTGTGTCCACACAGGCACAGCCTGACCCCTTGCTGTCATTCTCCTCTGGAGTGGCACATTACTTACCGCTGATGAACCTGCACTGGCACATCCTTATCACCAAGGTCCATAGTTATATTAGGGTCCACGCTTGCTGTCATACATTCTATGAGTTTAGGCAAATTCATATACCAGTATAGTATCATGCAGAATAGTTTTCTGCCCTGAAAGTCTTCTGTGCATATGAATAGGATAGGTGGAGCACAGATCACTTTTTAGGAAAATGTTGCCTTGTTTTGATTTGACAAAGTAGGCAACACTATCAATCACTGGAGAGAATGTAAAAATAGAACAGATGTCATCAGTTTTTTACATTATATATGAAGTTGTCAAAAATTACCTCGAAGTAAAATTTAGATTAGTTAAGTATAAATTGATGATTATTGTAATACAAATAACTCAATACAAAAAAGCGTTGCAACTAACTCATCTATGCAATTTAAAATGAATACTTAAAATACAATTAAACAAAAATATGAGAAGAGAAACAAGAGATTGTACAGTTTTTAAAAGTGGCAACACATTTCATTTAACATATTTATGAACTAAATTATTCAATTACAAGGTAGAGACTGTCATATTAGACAAAAGAATGAGACCCAACTAATGTTGTCTACCAGAAACATACATTAAACATAAAGACACAGATAGATGAAAAGTAAACCTACAAGAAAAGATAAACCATATACACAGCAAGCATTAGGAAGCTTGTGTGGCTACATTAGCAAAATGCAATGTAGACTGGAAAAGAGGGTGCATTATAAGAGAAAATGGGGGCATTTCATAATTATGAAAGAACCAATTCATCAGAGGACAATAATATTGCTTATATTATTGTCCTCTGATGAATTGGTTATTATATTATTGTCCTAATATGACATATATGTCCATAATTATGAAATGCCCCCATTTCATAATTATGAAAGGGACACCAACTTAATAATAAAGCCTCATAATTCATGAAGGAAAAAGCAGAATTGAAGGGAGAAATGGATAAATGACAATAATAATTAAAGATTTTAACATCCCTCTGTTCATCACTGATTGAACAGTAAGACAAACCATTCGTATGGCTATAGAACATTTCAACTTCATTATAAATCACCTTGATCTTATTGACATTTATAAAAACTACATTTCAAATGCTGAATATACATTGTTTTCTTGTGTATTGAAAGCACCACCAACATAGGCCAAATGCTGAATCAAAGAGTAAGTTTAAATGAATTTAACTTACTCAAGCTTTAGATTTTATAGAATATATTCTCTGATCACAATAAAATTTAATTTGAAATCGATGACATAAGAGATTCCTAGGAAACCCCCAAATAGTTGTAAATAACATGAAACACTATTTAACTCATAGTTCATAAAAGAAATCAAAAGATAATTTAGAAAAAATATAAAATAAGGAAAACAGTATATTAAATAAACATCTGCACCTAGATGTTTATTGCAGCACTATTCACAATAGGCAAGATATGGAATCAACCTAAGGGTCCAGCAACAGATGATGGTTAAAGAAAATGTGGTATATAGGCCGGGCACGGTGGCTCACGCCTGCAATCCCAGCACTTTGGAAGGCCAAGATGGGTGGATCACTGGAGGTCAGGAGTTCGAGACTAGCCTGGCCAACATGGTGAAACCCCATCTCTACTACAAATATAAAAATTAGCTGGGCATGGTGGCACGTCCCCAGCTACTCGGGAGGCTGAGGTGGAAGATCACTTGAATCCGAGAGGCAGAGGTTACAGTGAGCCAAGATCACACCATTGCACTCCAGAGCAAGACTCCATCTCAAGAAGGGAAAGGAAGGAGAGGAGAGGGGAGAGGAGGGGAAGGGAGGGGACAGGAGGGGAAAAGGAATAGATACACAATGAAGTACTATTCGGCCATAAAAGCAACATGCATAGAAATGGAGTGTATTATGTGAGTGAAATGAGCCAAGAAGAGAAAGTTAAACATTACAGCTTCTCACTCATATGTGGAAGCTAAAATATTTTGATCTTATAGAAGTTAAAACAGAGGATGCTAGAGGCTGGAAAGTATAAGAGGGAGGGAGGGATAGGGAGAGATTTGTTAAAAGATTCAAAATTAAAGCTAGATAGGAGGAATAAGTTCTAATGCTCTATACCATTATGGTATGACAATAGTTAACAATAACATATAGCTTCAAATAGTTAGCAAAGGATATTGAATGTTCCCAAAACAAAGAAATGATAAATGTTTGCAATGATGGATATGCTAATTACCATCACCTCATCAGGGTAATTAAATATATACACTATGAGTATTGAAACATCACTATGTACCCATAAATATGCACAATTATTATGTGCCAATTAAAAAAATAAAATAAAATTATGATAATAAAAGCTTCATATTTGTGGTGTAGAGTTAAATTGAGAGGGTAATTTATTATTTGAAATTCTTCTATTAGAAAAATACGTAGGTTTAAAAGTCAATGAAAAAATAAACAAAACGTAATTTGAAAAAATAAAATAACAGGTAATGAAAGAAATAAATGAAATTGAAAGTAAATAAATTCACAAAGTGAAAAGTTCCTTTGAAAAAATCAGTAAAGTTGTTACATACTAGTAAGACTAAGAAAAAAGGACTGATAAAAGAAGAAATATCATTACAGAACCTCTATATTTAAATGATAATAACTATTATGAACAATTCCATACTCAAGAATTTGGCAGCTTAAAGTTCTGTAAAGAGACAAATTACCAAAGCTTATTTAAGAACAAATTCATAATGTGAATTTTTCTGTATCTATATGTATCCAGATAGTCTAGGTTTTCTAATTTCTGGCCTATGGTTGCTCATAGTAGCCTCTAATGATCCTTACAATTTCAACAAAGAAATTCAGAAGAAATTGAAAAGTTTATTGAAGCAGATAAAAACGGCAACACAACATACCAAAACCTATGGGATACAGCAAAAAGCAGTAGTAAGAGGGAAATTTATACCTATAATTTCCAAGATCAAAAAAGTGAAAAACCTCAAATAAATAACCTGATGATACATCTTTTTTTAAGGTCACTATAAATTTTAATCTATGATATAAAATATTACCTACAGATATAATTGAACATCAGGTATCAGAAAATAAAACATAACAATGAAATGCAATTTTGTAAATACTTCTATGGTACAAGCATTATTTTCCTCAGATTCAACCTTTTAATTGTGTTTTGTTTGCTTTCTGAAAATCACACTTTATAAAGAACACAAGTAGAGCTTGTTAAAATGATTGTCACAGATGTACTGTTTACTAATTCAAAAAATACTACATTCATTCGCTCATATCAATTTTATTCATTAATTATGAAGAAGAAAATATAATATTCCATGCTTGTCATGAAATAGCGGTTTCTTCTTCCAGTCTAATCAGGGAACTAATAAATGCTTAGTTCATGGCAAAACTTCCATTTGATTTACATTGACTTAATTACCTCTTAGGGTCTAGCCTCATCAATGGAGAAAAAGCACTTTTTCTTGAGGCAACAGCACATTAACAGCACTGAATACAAAATATGGCAAATTCAATGGCTGTCAGCATTGCTTTAGGAATTTTGAGACTATAAAAAAACTATAACCATGAATAAAAGAAAAGGGCTTATTAATATCTTCTTTTTGGGAGAGTGATACATTCTGAAGGTTTCTTGTTATTCTGTTGAATAGCAAGGACTTCCAAACTTAAGTGTCTTAAGGCTGAAAATTAGTTACATTCCTCAGATTTTAGCCTTATTAATGAAATTCCAAAAGTATTATAAGATTTAGTATGTCTTGAAATTATAAATTTGTAACAGATATTTTTCAAAATACATGCCTTCAAACAACTTAAATGCAAAAATCATTCGTTCTTAATAATACCTAGCAGTTCATCCCTTGCTTCCCAGAAGTACTCATACAAACATGTGAATTTAAAAAATAGATTTTTCTGTTCAAAAAATAAAGCTTCTGCCCTTTTAAAAACTTGTCAGGCTTTCATTTGCCAAAATGTTGAAAACTGCACATATTCAAACATAGTTCCCGTAGGAACACATATTCCTCAACTCTCACACCTTTGAAGACACAGGAGACGGGCAATATAAATGTTCCCTTCTTTCCAGCTGATGTTAAATAGTTAGGTTTGCTTCATGAGATTATCGGAATAAAGGGTTAGATTTTCATTTTCCATTACTCTATCTAGTAAAATTAGACTTAAAGTAGGTAGAATACTACCAGAGGAATTACACAGTGATTGGCAAACTGGCCTAAAATAATCAGGCTTTTTATTTATACTTCCCTTTTTAAAGTTGTCATTTGACAACAGCTTCCATCTTTAACAGCAGGCAAAAGAAAATGAGGTGCCATGCTATATTAATTAAAATATTCCACAATGAAAGAAAATACAAAACCTGAAAATAACTTCAGTGCTATAGACATTTAAAAAGTTACAATGGTTAAAACTCTGAATAAAAAGATCTTGAGAACAGGTACATTTCAAAGCAATATTTTACACGCTTTGGAAAAAATAGCTATTTTTCAAATAACTTGATATATGGTTTACATATTTCATGCAGTCTCTGAGGTTTTTTTTTTCTACAGTACTGTTTTGCATTAAAGTCTCTCATGTTGTTTACCAGTAATTGTTTCCTTAGGCTGAAATAAAACTTTGCTTGTTCATTAGTTTTCTGTATATCCCATTTGGTTTTGAAAGCAGCTCTTCATGTTTTCCATATTCAGTAATTTTTCCTTGGTCAAGAACAGCAACCATATTAGCATTCTTAATGGTGGAGAGATGATGGGCAATAACTAACGCTGTTCTTCCATCCGTCAGTGGATCTAGAGCTTCTTGAACAAGGTACTCATTTTCAGCATCCAGCGCACTGGTTGCTTCATCTAGGAGAAGAATTTTGGGATTCTTCAGCAGAGCACGGGCAATTGCAATCCGCTGTTTCTGCCCACCTGAGAGGAGAACACCCTTTTCTCCAACCACAGTGTTGAACGCTTGGGGGAAATTCCGGATCAAGACCACTGCATTGGCCACTTCAGCCACTCTCTGGACTTGCTCAGCGGTCACAGAGGAAGGCCATCAGCACCATAAGCAATGTTCTCAGTGATAGAGCAAGAAAACAAAATGGGTTCCTGTCTCACTGTCCCAATCTTGGATCTCAGCCACACTGGGTTTAGCTGACGGATGTCATGGCCATCAAGACTGATGGTTCCAGAAGCAGGGTCGAACAACCTCAGCAGGAGCGAAAGCACTGTTGATTTGCCAGAACCACCTGGGCCAACCAGTGCCGTGACAGATCCTGACGGAATGGAAAGGCTGAAATCCTGAAATATGGGCGCCTCCGGGCAAGCGGGATCGGCAAAATGCACGTTCTTAAACTCCAAAGCACCCTGGAAGCTTTTCTCATTTAAGATAACCCTTCCCCCTCCTTAAAAGGCAGATTGGGCTCTCTCTCCAGGAGCTCCCAGAGGCGCCCCCCGGCACCCAGTCCTTTCATCAGCTCCGAGTAGAAAGAGCTCAGACCTCCAATGCTTATTCCAACCCCGAAAGCATACATAGGAAGGAAGAGAGTTCACCCATGGTCATGTGGGCACTGCCCATCAGCAGCCCCCCTTTGTACAGGACAGAAAGCACAATCAGGTTTCCGGACAGCCTAGTTCTCCAAAGAAGCCAGCCCGAGCGAATGCCTCTTTCCTTGCTGACTACATCACATGGTCCACTTTGCTGGCCTATTTTTCTATTTCAGTCATTTCTTTCCCAAAAGCTCGAACAGTTCTTAACATTTCCAATACGTTCCTCCTGAGTGGCTTGTGCCAGCGAATCCTGGGTGACTTTGGTCAGTTTCCGTAGATATCGTCCATAAATTACATCAATGATTGACACTAGACGCACCACACTCACAACAAAGGTGGCCCGATTAGGTGAGACACAAAACATCATCCTGATGCCTACAGAAGCCCGGGCCCCGGCCCTGAGCCCATCTGAGAGGTTTTCAGTCACTGAGCGCCCCAGGAGTGCAGTGTCCGATGAGAGGCGGTTAATCAATTCCCCTGTGCCAGCCTTGTCAAAGAAAGCAACCTCCTGCCCCAGAATGGAGGAGAATAACGAAGTTCTCAGCCTCTTCACAACGCGCTGACGTGAAGTTTGCATGAGGTAGACACGAATGGCATTGGCGGCAGCACCACATAGAAACACGCCACTGAGGCCAAGGCAGAGGCGGGTCAGGTTGTCGCTGTAGTCCACAGTGGGGTTGGTATAGATGGCATCGATGATCTTCCCCAGAAAGAAAGGGGCAGACATGGAGATAACACCGGACATCGGAGAAATCCAACCGCAGCTGCCAGCCTCTGGCGCTCAGGGTACTCCAGCCCCAGGAGCTTCCCGGCCTCCGAGAGTCCGGGCGCCATGGGTCGTAGCCGCTGGTCGTCCCGGGAAGGCGCCGCCCGCCCGCGCCGCCAGGCCTCCTCCCCTGCCGAGGCAGTGGCGGTGGGACCGCCCGGGAACCCGGTGCGCGGGAGCCGAGGAGCGCCCGGCCGGCAAGAGCCCCGCACCTGCAGCTGCCGGGCCCAAGCCCACAGCCCCGGGAGCCGTCCGAGGCCCGCGTGGCCCCCCGAGCCGCCCAGACCCCCGCCCCGGCAGCAGCTCCTCCAGCGGCGCGCGGCTCCAACGCCCCAGAGCAGCTCCGGCCCCGCGCCCCATAGCCGCGCCAGCCTCGGGGCAGTGAAGGGCGATATGGACTGGGGGCGCGGCTGGCCGGGGCCCACACACAGGCTACCGGCGGGAGCCGCCCTGGCTCTGCGGGGCCCGTGGCGCCGATACATCTTAAAAGAACTAGAAAAGCAAGAATAAACCAGACCCAAAATAAGTATAGAAGAAAGGAAAGAATAAAGATAAGAGCAAAAATTAATGAAATTGAAATGAAAAAATACAAAATATGAACAAAACGAAAAGTTCGTTTTTTAAAAAAGATAAACCAAACCAGTAACCTTTAGCCACACTAAAAAAAAACAAAAAACCCTAAATAAATAAAATCAAGATGAAAACGGGGACATTTTCATTGATACTGTAGAAATTCTAAGGATCATTAGAGGCTAGTATGAGCAACTATAGACCAATAAATTAGAAAATCTAGAATAAATGGATACTTTCCTAGATACATACAACCTAGCAAGAATGAACCACAAAGAAATCCAAAACCTGAAAAGACCAATAAGTAGTGAGACGGAAACAATTTTCCCAGGAAAAGCCGGGTGCAGTGGCTCACGCGTGTAATCCCAGCACTTTGGGAAGCCGAGGCGGGCGGATCACGAGGTCAGGAGATGGAGACCATCCTGACTAACACGGTCAAACCCCGTCTCTACTAAAAAAAATACAAAAAAAAAAAATTAGCTGGGCATGGT
Organism: Homo sapiens; assembly: GCF_000001405.40. Taxonomy (NCBI): domain Eukaryota; kingdom Metazoa; phylum Chordata; class Mammalia; order Primates; family Hominidae; genus Homo; species Homo sapiens. The sequence continues at coordinate 208,963 of NW_003315943.1, forward strand.
GGCGGGTGCCTCTAGTCCCAGCTACTCAGGAGGCTGAGGTAGGAGAATGGCGTGAACCTGAGGGGCGGAGCCTGCAAGTGAGTCGAGATCAGGCCACTGCACTCCAGCCTGGGCGACAGAGCGAGACGCCCTCTCAAAAAATAAAAAAAAGTTTCCCGGGAAAGAAAAGCCCAAGACCCGACGGCTTTACTCCTGAATTTTACCAAATATTTTTAAAAGTAGCACAAAATGCAGCAGCAGGATTCTCCTGCCCCAGCCTCCTAAGTAGCTGGGGCTACAGGTATGCACCACCACGCCTGACTAATTTAAAACTGTTTTTGTAGAGACAAGATCTCACTATGTTGCCCAGGCTGGTCTCAAACTCCTAGGTAAAATGATCCTCCCACCTCTGCCTCCCAAAGTGTTAAAATTGCAGGCATAAGCCATTGCCCCCGCCTGAAAAAATTTATATGTATATATATTTATATTTTATATATATATATATATGTATATATATATATATATGTATATATATATATATATATGTATATATATATACATATATATATATATATATATATATGTTTTTGTGTTTTTTTTGAGACAGAGTCTCGCTGTGTCACCCAGGCTGGAGTGCAGTGGCACGATATTGGCTCACTGCACCCTCTGCCTCCAGGTTCAAGTGATTCTCATGCCTCAGCCTCCTGAGTAGCTGGGATTACAGGCATATGCCACTACACCCGGCTGATTTTTGTATTTTTAGCAGAGACATGGTTTCACCATGTTGGTTAGGCTGGTCTTGAACTCCTGACCTCAAGTGATCCACCCACCTCAGCCCCCCAAAGTGCCGGGATTACAGGTGTGAACAACCATGCCTGGCCAAAAATAATTTTTTTAAAAAGATTTTGTTCTGATTCTGATGGGAAATGGACTCTTTTCTAAAGTTACTAGCAGTTCTTTAACTGGTTAGCTCTATGTTAGGCATAGGTATTACTTTTTAGGGTGGCAGGTATGTGAAAAAAGAAGGGAGGTGGACAAAACCAAGACAGCAGAAGTAACTATTTGAGGGATTTCAAAACCTTTGACTGACACTCACTTCCTGGGACAGTCTTGATTTTGCTACTCTTTCCTCATCTGTTTCTTTTCAAGCCTTGCTCCCTACACACTTACCCTAGTTCTAACCCTTCCTGCTGATGGGCACCCCATTCACAAGGCAACAGATACCAGATGTGAGGAATGGAAAGAAAAACATTCTTACTTGATTGTTCTTAGGAGTTATACAGTCAGGCTCTTGGTTGGAGGGCTCTGATGTGAAAGCTTGGCTTCAAGTCCACTGAGAAAGTAGTATGATTGAAGTGGTGAACTGGAGATGGGGTGGGGGTGGCCTACCACGAGGACTAATTTGTTCTTTACGTGTTTTTGTTTTTTTATTTTTTTAGACAAAGTCTCACTCTGTCGCCCAGGCTGGAGTGCAGTAGCGCAATCTTGGCTCACTGCAAGCTCCGTCTCCGAGGTTCATGCCATTCTCCTGCCTCAGCCTCCTGAGTAACTAGGACTACAGGCACCTGCCACCACACCTGGCTAATTGTTTGTATTTTTAGTAGAGACGGGGTTTCACACTGTTAGCTAGGATGGTCTCGATCCGCTAACCTCATGATCCACCCGCCTGGCCTCCCAAAGTGCTGGGATTACAGGTGTGAGCCACTGTGCGTGGCCTGTTCTTTATCTAATGGTTTGCAAGGGTGGAAATACCTCTGGGGAAATGTGATGGATTCTCCTAGGAAACTGACTTCACCAAATAATTCTTTTGAAACTGTTCAGAAACGAGACAAATGACATGAATCTATTTACAAAGAGAATTACCTCTGTGTCTGTGACCCAAGAGGCATTCCCATAGTGATACACTTGGACATTTGTTCAGGGGGCAAGCGCTCACGCCGAGTGATTTTTCTTTTTTCTTTTCTTTTCTTTTCTTTTTTTTTTTGTTTGTTTGTTTTTAAGACTGAGTCTCGCTCTGTCGCCCAGGCTGGAGTGCAGTGGTTCGATCTCAGCTCACTGCAAGGTCCCCCTCCCGGGTTCACACCATTCTCCTGCCTCAGCCTCCCCGGTAGGTAGCTGGGACTACAGGCGCCCACCACCATGCCCGGGTAATTTTTTGTATTTTTTTTTTTTTTTTTTTTTTATAGTAGAGACGGGTTTGACCGTGTTAGGCAGGATGGCCTCGATCTCCTGACCTTGTGATTTTCAAAGCTGTTCGAGGGCATTTATCAGGCTTTTAACTCTAGGTACTCTTTCCCACAGTGTGAAGGCCAAGAGAAGGGATCCTGGGCTCTCTTCCCTGGCCCCAGGATGGGAATTCAGGGGGAAAAGGTCACCTATTCTCCTATTCTTATCCCACAAAAGAAAACTTATGCATCAGTTGTCAAGCTAAGGAGCTTCAGAGTCCACAAATAGGGAAATTGCTGAGAGCTTATCAGTAGTGTCCACTACCCATCCCCACCTGGGGTCACGTGGAGAATGATGGTGGGGGCGACGATCTTGTCCTACTTCAGGTGAAAAGCAGGGGTGTGGGGGGGTTTCATTGTGAAGGGCTCCTTTGTTAAAATTCCTTCCAATTCCAGGAAAAACATGCACTCGAAAGCCATTATCTCTTTTACTTCTTACTAGGGAACTTCCAGGAAAGAGACGGGGGGGTGGGGGGTGGGGAAGAAGAGGGCAAAACAGCTGAGTGAATGTAGTCACCTCTCCGATTGCTTTTCTTGTTGCAGAATATTTCACATGCCAGGATTTTCCTTCTTGTCCTCCGGACTGTTGATACACCCAACATCTTAATACGCTTTCAATCACAAGTTAAAGACATCCAGAGCCAGATTGCTTGAGCCTAGGAGTTCCAGACCGGCCTGGACAACATGGTGAAACCCAGTCATATATATTTTTTTTTAGGGGGAAATTTGCTCTTGCTGTCCAGGCTGGAGTGCAGTGGCGAGGTCTCAGCTTGCCAGACCTCCGTCTCCGGGGTTTGGGTGGTTCTCCTGCCAAAGCCTCCTGAGTGGCTGGGATTGCGGTGTGAGCCACCATGCCCGACTAATTCCTTAACTGTGCAACTACAAGGTCACTAAACAAATAAACTCAAGTCACAAAACATATTTTTCCTTAAATAGTAAAAAATAATATAATGCATGTTTCAATTAAATAACAATCTTTGTTTCTCGCTTCTATAATATGCTTCTCCCTGCACAGATCTCCCCCTTCGCCCCACATAATGCTTGAAAGGTAACTCTTGGTTCAGTGCTCAATCCTTTAAATGTTAATCCGACTGGGCCGGTGCACCTAAATAATTAATAAATGTCCTCCTAAACCCCATGAGTCTATCTAATTCCTTAAAAATCCCTCTACAGGACTGCAGGTGTGAGCCACTGCACCCCGCCTAATTTATTAATCAGAGAGGAATAGATCGGCCTGGCGTGGTGGCTCACGCTTGTGATCCAGGGACTTTGGATGATGGAGCACTGGGGATCACTTGAGCCTAGGAGATCCAGACTGGCCTGGGCAACATGGTGGAACTCGGTCTCTCTCTTTTTTTTGTTTTTTTGGAGGCAGAGTTTTGCTCTTGTTGCCCAGGCTGGAGTGCAGTGGTGCAGTCTCGGCTCCCTGCCACCTCCACCTCTTGGGTTTGGGTGGTTCTCCTGCCTCAGCCTCCCTAGTGGCTGAGATTGCAGGTGTGAGCCACCATGCCCGGCTAATTTTTTTTTTTTTTGGTACACACAGGGTTTCTCCCTGTTGGTCAGGCTGGTCTCAAACTCAGGACCTCAGGTTATCCGCCTGCCTTGGCTTCCGGGGATGCTGGGATTGCAGGCGTGAGCCAGCGCGCAAGGCCCAATTGATTAATCAGAAAAGAATAGATCAGCCTGGCGTGGTGGTTCACGCTTGTGATCCCAGGACGTCGGACGGCCGAGCGCTGGGGATCACTTGAGCCTAGGAGTTCCACACCGGCTTGGGCAACATGGTGAAACCCGGTCTCTCTTTTTTTTGGCGGGGGGGGGTACAGGCAGGGTTTCTCCATATTCATCAGGCTGGTCTCAAACTCCCGACCTCAGGTTATCTGCCCGCCTCCTCGGCCTCTGGGGATGCTGGGATTGCAGGCGTGAGCCAGCGCGCCCGGTCCAGTTTATTAATCATAAAGGACTAGATCGGCCTGGCATGGTGGCTCACACTTGTGATCCCAGGAATTTGGACGGCAAGCGCGGCGGATCGCTTGAGCCTAGGAGTTCCAGACCTGCCTGGGTAACATGGTGAAACCTGGTCACTTTTTGTTTGTTTTGAGGCGGAGATTCGCTCTTGTTGCCCAGGCTGGAGTGCAGTGGTGAGGTCTTGGCTCAACGGGCCTCCGCCTCCAGGGTTTGGGTGGTTCTCCTGCCACAGCCTCCCGAGTGGCTGGGATTGCACGCGTGAGCCACCATGCCCAGCTCATTTTGTTTTTTGTTTGTTTTTGTTTTTATTGTTGGAGATGGGGTTTCTCCATGTTCATAAGGCTGGTCTCAAACTTCCCACCTCAGGTTATCCGCCCGCCTCGGCGTCCGGAGGTGCTGGGATTGCAAGCGTGAGCCAGCGCGCAAGGCCTAATCTATAAATCAGAAAGGAATAGGGCCGGGGATCCCTTGAGCCTAGGAATTCCAGACAGGCCGGGGCAACACGGTGAAACCCGCTCTCTTTTTTTTTTTTTTCTTTTTTTTTTTTTGCGGCAGTTTCACTCTTGTTGCCCGGTTGGAGTGCAGTGGCGCGGTCTCAGCTCCCCGCGGCCTCCGCTTCCGGGATTTGGGTGGTTCTCCTGCCTCAGCTTACCAAGTGGCTGAGATTGCAGGCATGAGCCAACATGCCCGGCTCTTTTTGTATTTTTTTTTTTTTTTTTGGTATAGACGGGGTTTCTCCCTTCGTCAGGGTAGTCTCAAACTCCTGACCTCAGATTACCCGTCTGCTTCGGCCTCCCGGGGTGGTGGGATTGCAGGCGTGAGCCACCATGCCCAGCTTATTTTTTTTTCTTTTTTGGTAGAGACGGGTTTCTCCATGTTGGTCAGGCTGGTCTCAAACTCCCGACCTCAGGTGATCCGCCCGCCTCGGCCTCCCAGGGTGGTGGGGTTGCAGGAGGGAGCCACCGCGCCGGGCGCAATTTATTAATCAGAAAGGAACAGATGGGCCTGGCGTGGCGGCTCATGCTTGTGATCCCAGGACTTCCGATGGCCGAGCGCGGCGGATCCCTTGAGCCTAGGAGTTACACGCCGGCCTGGGCAACATGGTGAAACTCAGTCTCTCTCTCTCTCTCTTTTTTTTTTTTTGAGAGGGAGTTTCACTCTTGTTGCCCAGGCTGGAGTGCAGTGGCAGGGTCTCAGCTCCCCGCAGCCTCAGCCTCCCGGGTTTGGGTGGTTCTCCTGGCTCAGCCTCCCGAGTGGCTGGGATTGCAAGCGTGAGCCACCATGCCCTGCTAATTTTTTTTTTTTTTTTGGTAGAGATGGGGTTTCTCCATGTTACTCAGGCTGGCCTCAATCTGACCTCAGGTTATCCGCCCGCCTCAGCCTCCCGGGGTGCTGGGATCGCAGGCGTGAACCACCGCAACCGGCCCAATTTTTAATCAGACAGGAATAGATCGGCCTGGCGTCATGGCTCACGCTTGTGATCCTAGGATTTTGGACGGCTGAGTGTGGCAAATCGCTTGAGCCTAGGAGATCCAGACCCGCTTGGGCAACATGGTGAAACCTGTTTTTTTTTTTTTGAGACGGAGTTTCCCTCTTGTTGCCCAGGCTAGAGTGCAGTGGCGCGGTCTCGGCTCGCCGGGCCTCCGCCTCCCGGGTTTGGGTGATTCTCCTGCTTCAGCCTCCTGAGTGGCTGGGATCAAGGGCGTGAGCCACCAAGCCTGGCTACTTTTATTTATTTATTTATTTATTTATTTATTTAGGTTGAGATGGGGTTTCTCCATGTTGGTCGGGCTGGTCTCCTGCTCCTCACCTGGGGAGATCCGCCGGCCTCGGCCTCCAGGGGTGGTGCGATTGCAGGCGTGAGTCACTGTGCCTGGCCGGAAACCCAGTCCCTTAACGGAAAAACAAAACAAAAACCACAAAGATTAGCCAGACCTGGTGGGCCCCCCTGGGTAGTCCCAGCTACTCTGAAGGCTGATGCAGGAGGATTGCTTGAGCCCGGGGTGGAGGTGGCAGTGAGCCATGATGGCGCTGCTGCAGTCCAGACTGGGTGACAGAGCAGGACTGTGTCTCAGGAAAAGGGAAAGGAAAAAAAGAATAATAAAAAGAAGTATATAAAATTGCTAAATCCAGGAACAGCTTCACAGTATATTGAGAGAAATAGAGGCAAAGGTTAGCAGACACCAATGTTCACTTAGTGGAACTGCAGGTGTCCCCAGACAGGAGGCTGCTACTTTTCCAACAGAAATCTATTATTGACCAAAAAAAGTTAGTTTGTTACAATATACAAATAGCTAAACTTTATATAGCCACGACCCTCTTCTAGCACTGCTCTAAGCCTTTTCCTGCTCTGGAATAGCTACTATTGTTACCTCCATTGTAGAGAAAACAGATGGGGGAGGTTGTTGTGGAAGGACCAGGGAAACTGACTATGAAATTGACTTGTAAGTTTAGGACTTAAAGGTTCTTCCTGCTTTGCTCCTTACATTGCCACATTTTAGTTAACATACCTCTTAAAATACTGGTCCTTTCTGTATTTGGAGGGACTCCTCTTGCAGTTTGAAGTTTTTTCTTACACTAAGCATCTGGTTAGAAGATCATCTCCATTTTATGTCAGTTTAAGTTTAGACATTGTTCAGTAAGGAATGTAAATATGAGCAAACAGTTATCTGATTGAAATAGATAAACTAGAAAAAAAATCACCTATGAGAAAGTCAACAAAATGTCAACTCTGGATTTGTGGCTATTTTCAGAATATTAATTTTTTGATATTTAATGGCATTGTGAATATATTTATTTTTAAGAATTCCTTGTCTTCTACAGATACATATAAGGTAATTAAAAATGATAGGATGTATAGGTTTTACTTCAAAATAATTCAGAGGAAGAAGGAATGTATATAAATGAAGTGGGAATATAAATGAAACAAAACTGGCTGTGGCCAGGTGTGGTGGCTCACGCCTGTAGTCTCAGCACTTTGGGAGACCGAGGCAGGTGGATCACCTGAGGTCAGGAGTTCAAGACCAGCCTGGCCAACGTGGTGAAACACCATCTCTACTAAAAATACAACAATTAGCCGGATGTGGTGCCGGGTGCCTGTAATCCCAGCTACTCGGGAAGCTGAGGCAGGAGAATCGCTTGAACCTGGGAGGTGGAAGTTGCAGTGAGCCAAGATCATGCCACTGCACTCCAGCCTGGGCAACCACAGCAAAATCCCACCTTTAAAAACAAACAAACAAACAAAAAACAACCAAAAAAAAAAACTGTCCATACCATGAATGAAAAATTGTTGATGATGTGTATATGTAGGGCAATTATATCATTTATTATATATAATATATATATTATTTTTCTCAACTTTTTTTTACATCTGAAACTTTCTATTGAACACATGGACATGTCCCTTGATAACTGGGGCTGCTTCCCCATTATTCTCTCAGCAGCCCTTCTGATTTTCACTCCATCTTCATTCTTAGAGATTCTGGATTTTATTTTTTTTTTTTTTGGGAAGTTCAAGTATGTCTTTGCAAGGATTATCCAGCGTGTCTACCTACTCAATCATATTATCAGAAACAGAAAAAGTGTCCAGATTCTTGTCTTGTCCTGTTCAGATTTTTTAAATTCCAAGAACAGTCACCTTCTACCAGACACTCTGATGTTGGAAGACAAAGCATATTTGGTAAGTGGCGTGATTTCTGGGCTCCGATTTAGAACAGTCACAGCTTTCAACAATCCAAAAATAGCTGACTGTGACTCACCATATTTAGAAAGATGGAGATTATTAAAAAAAGAAAACCTTAATTTATCATGTGACCTCTAAGTATCTCGGCTGAAAATTGTAAAGATAGAAAGGTAAATCAAAAGATACAGAGACTGTAATCATGCACTTAATAAAGCGCTAAATCAAAATATATTTGGCATATGTGAAAGAGTTTAATTTTATCCCATTTTCTACTGGCACTATAGGTATTTGTAAGTACATATAAAACTACAGTGTTACATATAAACTACCAAAAAAGAACTTAAGAAACGAGACTAATCTAGCAACTTTATTTAAAAGTTTATCTTAAGGGAATAATTAAGGATGTCCATACAAAAGGATTTAGCCATGACACGAGAATGTTCTTCCTGGCAAATCAATGGAAATTATTAAATGTGCAAAAGGGAACTGTTGGAATAAATTCTAATGCCTTCATATGATCGTATGTCGTAACCTTTTAAAATGATATTAAAGAGTTGCATACATTGACTTAAACAGATATTCATAACACATCACTGAATAGGAGAAATACGGGCCAGCAAAGAACATAGAGTTGGTCCAATTTCTACAAAAAAAAGAAGACTAATAGCATGACGGCAGGGAAGGGGGAATATGTCAATGTATGTGTGTATATATATGTATGCATAGCAAGTATGAACTTGAAAGGATATATATCAAATTGTTTACACAGATTACCTCAGAGAGGTAAATAACTGGCCTTTGGTGTTCTGTGTTCCATAGATTCTGAATTTTCTTTTTTTATTTAAATAGAGATGGGATCTTAGCCAGGAGCAGTGGCTCACACCTGTAATCCCAGCACTTTGGGAGGCTGAGGAGGGCGGATTGCTTAAGGCCAGGAGTTGAAGACCAATCTGGCCAACATGGCAAAACTCTGTCTCTACTAAAAATCCAAAAATTAGCCAGGCGCAGTGGCTTATGCCTATAACCCCAGGTACTCGGGAGGCTGAGGCATAAGAATTGCTTGAACCAGGAGGCGGAGGTTGCAGTGAGCAGAGATTGCACCACTGCACTCCAGCTTAGGCAACAGACCGAGACTCTGTCAAAAAATAAAAACAAAACAAAACACCACCACCAACAACAAAACAGTAATAAAGAGAAAATCTTATGGACAGGAGCAATGTCTCATGCCTGTAACCCCAGTGCTTTGGGAGGCCAAGATGGGAGAATCGCTTGAGCCCAGGAGTTCAAGACCAGCATGGGCAACATAGCAAGACCTTTTCTCTACAAAAAATTTAAAAATTAGCCAGGCATAGTAGTGCATGCTTATACTCCCAGCTACCTGGGAGGCTGAGGTGGGAGGATCACTTGAGCATGAGAGTTGGAGGTTGCAGTGAACTGTGATCACACCACTGGGAAGCCATGACCCCATCCCTGCCTTCTTCCTCTGTCCTATGCTAGCAATAAGTAAGTTTCCCAGCCACAAATAATTATTAGAACCTCCTCCCCATGTGCCACCTCCAACCACCGCTAGGTATGATACAGGGGTGGCCCTACCCTCTGGAATATACAAAACCTTACACAGACACAATATATACACCGGGGAAGGGGGGCCACCCCAGCAGCCCATGCCTTCGCCTGGTCCACAGTTAGCCCCACTGTCCTGCCTCAGCTACCTCTCTGAATAAGAAGATTGGAGCCCCCACTGAGGGAAAAGTTGCTATGGTGAGAGTAAGGAGGCCATGAGGCCTCCTCCAAACAAACCAACTCCACCAGCCTCTGGCTCTTAAATAACAATATCATCCAGAAATTTAAGGACTCAGCTCTGGTCAAGGTGGCAAAGGGTCTGTTTGTCTTTCCTCGTTAGACAGAGGTCTTGTCCTGCTACCCTAATTGTAAAGGGGTGACTGGGAAGGGGAGATAGGGACAGTGTGGTGGTGGAGACCCCAGCCCCACTTCTCCAGGCTTTGCTGACAGGGGCCTGCTTTTAATTTTAATTTTTATTTTTATCCCATGCCTTTTTTTTTAAATCCCATAACTTCTTTTTCATAACTTTTTTTGGTAACTTTTCATAAAACTTTCTTCTACTTTTTGGTCACAAGATTTTTTTGCCACAACTTTTTTACATTTTTTATCCCATAACTTTTTCACCCCATAACTTTTGTTAATCCCATAACTTTTTTATTTTGTGTTCTTTTAATAAACCCTTGCATAGTTATATTACAATTTTGTAAAAATGAAACATTATCTCATGCCAAGCATGCTCAGCATTTGCACAGTATCAATACCTTTAATACTATATTTTTGAAGACACACAGAATAAAATTTTAAGGCAAAAACAGCACTTTGCAACAACTTAATAATTTATTACATTACAGTAGCATCACACCAGCAGTCAATAATGCCACTTTAGGCAAAAGTCTTTCAGTATTTCCGTTTTACATTCCGCTTACAAGAATTCATAAATTGGTAAAATTCATTCTAAGAAAACTTGGCAAATAAAGCTTTGGACTGGAATTGGCATTTCTTTCTCTACTTTTCCTTCCCACCGTTTATTTCCTTTACAGTATTCATATTTTAAAATGTTTTAACTTATTTCAGAACATTAAGATAGCAGTTACATTGTTTAATAGTTATTTTAAAATGACTCTTTCAGATAAAGTTTTAGAGAAACTATAGTATGGATAGGGCTGATTTACATTTTCAAATTTTCTAAAAATCAGCTTTGGTTTTAGAGCTGATTTTTGTTCATTTCTGGAAAACCTATCAGATTTAATCCAATACTTTAAAAATGATTATTATATATTGCAATCTTTAAATCGGTGATTTGATTCTTCCTACAGAAATTCAAATTTATTGAATTGAACTCACATTTTAGAATTCTGTTTCTGATGAACTCTAACCTTCCAATGTTGCCCTCTAAGCAAATTGAAAGCTGCCTTATACCGAATGAGGAAGAATACCAATACTTGGCTGAATGAGGTATCGCAAAAGACTGCATGCACTTTGAAGAAAGACTTAAGTTATAGTCATGCGATTTCCATTCTTTTTAGCTTTTTCTTCAATATACGACAAATATCTACACAAAGAGTGGTATTTCCGTTAATACAGTCAATTTATTTTCCAGATTGACATTCAGCTTAAATATGCCAGTATGTGATTTAATCCACAGGCACCTGATGAACACATTATTGTCAGATTGGTTACAGATGCTCGTAGTTGTCTTTAAACTGAACTCAAAGAATGCAAAAACATCAAGTTCAGAAAATAAAAGGCAAGGACAGGACTTTAAGTGCATTTTAAAGCCACGGGCGAGAAATCGTACCACTGTTAACTAGCCGCATTATTTGGTCTAACATTTTTTCTTTATCATTCTGAAACTGGGTTTATCTAATACATTGATACATTCATACAATTTGGAAGAGTCCGTTGAAGTCACAAGGACCCGATGTTTGCACTCTTTCAGTGATTGCCGGCAAATCTGTTATTCCATCGGCAAAATCGTACTGCTGCTCTCCTGTTAATGTCGTATTTATAAAAGTATCATGAGGATGCCAAATGCTAAAAATGGAGATGGTCTAGTAACTAGAAATCCCCACCCCAGGGAGCACACATACATATCTCCCTACATCCTAATAATGTGATGTGTTTTGGAACACAGACATTAGAACTTCATGAAGTTTTAACTGTTGAGTCTTTCCCAAGCATCATCAAGTTATGATTTAGGCAATGTACAACTGAAATTCATTCATTCATCATGCATAGGCACAATCACATAAATACTGCACAAAATATGCCCGTAAGTGAAACCCAGAGGTACAGAAACACATTTCACTCTTCACAAAGAAGTTTGTGAGGAAATATAACTCTGTGATTGTATAGACATGTTTCCTGATAATACACTGACATTCACCAACAGTAGATTGCACTGCAGTTTGTACACATTTTAAGTTGCATAAACTTCTCCTTGATTTTCAAAGATAGTATAATACTGTCTACTAAAACTCCTTTTTGTTTCAACTAAGCACTCTCACATATATTAGTTTATAACAATGTTTATTATTATTTCAAAGTGTTTTCCATTCAAGGAAAAGAAGTCAATTCCTATGTCAAAGTAACCAAGGTGGTTGAAGAATAGGCAGAGTGGTCTAGATGGTAAAATCAATCTTCAAGCCTCAAAGAAGCTCCATGAACAGAGGAATGCCAGGTGTCACACAGCTTTCCTTCACTCTAATTCATTCTTGACTAGAGCCTGTATGCCTGTTCCAGGGACATTTGAACTCTTAAAGGATTTCTTATGATCTTTACTAAATACATTAAGAAGAATGCCAACCAGTGCCCTTTTGTGTACTGGGACATGCAGTCATGTGATTAAAACAGGTAACATGAACTCTGACTTTAAAATATAGATACAAATGCTCTAAGCTAGGAAAGGTTTTCCACAACCGTAGTCAATGATGGGAACCTTTCATTCCTCAGAAATAAGCCCTTTTTAGGTCATCAAAAAAGAGTACAACTGCTGAAGCTCATGATGCAATATCTTCATGAGCCCAGAGCACATACAAATCCTAAAGGAACTACAATAGTACAGCACTAATTCTTGGCAACAGAACAAATGAAACACACTCTATCTTGCACATACCTGCCAGAGCAGGCAACTTTCCTCTTCTGTGAAATTTAAAAAGCTCCCCCAAAATGTTATTACTCCCATCACCAATACACAGAAAATGAGGAAAAGGCTGTTTCCAGTTCTCGGCCTTTAAACAACTCTAAATGTCAGTACTCTTGGTGGCATATTACAAAGTATTAAATAGTGCACACTTGGGGCAAACCACATATTGTGCTAATGAAGAGCTCACTGTGATTAAGATTAGATCAAACAACAGCAGAACATAGGCACATTTTATCTGAATTCTGTAATGAATATACATGCTGCAATAACATTAAAAACACATGGCAGCCTATTCCAAACCAGCAAGAATAGTTTTGTGCAAATAGTGGGTCTTTGTGTGTTTGAACTCCCACCACGTAAGGGCAAACTCAATATGCATGCTAATGACCTACAATTATGAAATTGAAAAAGAAAATTGCGAAAGTATGCCAGAGTGAACATCAGTGAAAGCCACAGAGACCCACTCTCTTTTAACTATTTACAAATGAACTTAAACTATAAATTAGAAACACAAATAATCATAAGTGGCTATAACATTCAAATGAAGTAAATGAATTGTGTAGGAGATTAACCCCATAACTTTGTTTCTTTTTTAAAAATTTCTTCAGCAGCTCTTTGACGATGGTGATGTTTATCTCCTTCTTCTTGGCAGCCAAGCCCAGCAAAAGAATGGCACACAGCAGTTGCTGCCCAAGCCTGGGTGCTCCTGGTGGTCCTGCACGATCGGCTGTGCAGTAGGGTTGTCGTGGGGAGAACCCTCCCTGGCCTCTCCTTGCACAGGCTCCACGCTGTCAGTGAGGCTCACCTCACAAAGATCTTTGGAGAGAGGGAGGCGGGGATCTGAGCTCAGTGAGAGCCCCCCTGCTCCTGCCTGCCCACCCCGCCTGAGGGCTCTACTCACCACCATGCTTGTGGGCAGCCCCAAGCTCCTGGGGGGCTGGGGCTCCTGGACTGGGCTCATGAGCAGGGTTCTGGGCAGTCACCAAGAATTTGCTGTGTCCCTTGTAGTCGCCACCAGCTGCAACACCATCTCCTGCAGCTCCAGCAGCTTCACCTGGAGGGAGGGGTGCTCAGCTGTCACGCTGCTGCCAGCGCTCACCGTCACAGCCACCCCCACCCCCGCAGAGATGTTGCACACTCTACCTTCATCTCCTCCCTGTCCAGGGCCAGCCTGATGGTGTCCTCCTCCCGGTGCTGCATCTTTGGCACTGCCCCCTGGCTTTGTTATAGGGTGATAAACTTTCCTGCGGGAGGACAGGGCTCAGACGCTGGGGCCCCTCCAACAGCCCTGCAGCTCCCCCTGCCATGCCCTGGCCTCCCACTCACTGATGGCATCTCTCTCTGTAGTACTGGAAGAATCCAAGTTCTTCTTTCTCCACCAGCTCACTCAGGTCTGCCTTCTCCTCCAGGTGGTCCATAAAGCCGCTCTGGAGCCAAAATAATGGGGTCACATCTCGCCAGCGACCTGCCCTCAGGTGGCATTTTCAAGTCATGGAGAAGGCGGAGGTGAGTTCCGGCATGGGCCAGCTTCTCCGTGACTTCCTGCAGGGCCCGGTGGGTCTCCCCACTCACAGACTCGCCCCCAGGCCCTGGGGCTCCAGGGCCTCTGGCTGCCTCTGGCTCCTTCTGGGCCGAGGCCACCGGGTGAGCCAGGCGCTGGCAGCACACCCTCTGCTCTTTCACCTGCTCTTGTAACTGTGCCTGCTTCTCCTGGGCACTAGCTCCAGCGGACTTGAAAAATGCCACCTGAGGGCAAGATGTGAGCATTCTTGCAGGGGCATACACAGAACAAATGGGGCAGAGAGGTGGAGCGCAGCCCCTTCCCTTGGGGCCCCAGAGACTGCACATGTTGGTCACAGGTGAAATGGTGTCTGACCACTGGCTCCCAGAAGGGGTGAGGGTCCAGAGAAATCAGAAGGCAGGGAAACGAAGAGCATAAAGGGGTCTTGGAGGGACCACAGAGGAAGGAGGCAAAATGGGTTCAGGTGGAGTCAGGCTTACCATGGCCTCCCTGCTCTCCAGGTCCTGTGGGATGCTAGGAATGGGCCGAGGTGCCTCCTCCCCCTCACTGTCCAGATGTCCTCCTCCATCTCCTGGGGGTGGGGGTGGTGGCCAGAGGGGTCCTCAGACAACTCAACAAGGGAAGTATTGTGGGCCCACCTCTGCCTCCACCCTCATTGTGTAACCCTGAGCCAGGCCCTCCCCAGAGAGGAATGAGCTGCTGTTATTTATTTTTACTTTGAAGAACCAAGATCTTGCTATACTGCCCAGGCACATTCCCACTACTGGTCGGTGCGGGAGTTCTGACCTGCTCCCTTTCTGACCTCGGCCAGTTCAGCCATCCTTAGGCAACTTGGTGGCCCCCCGCTCACAGGAGGTCACCATATTGATGCTGAACTTAGTGCAGGCACCCGGTTAGTATAATGACCAGCTGTTCTAAAGGTCTCTTCCAACTCCTCAATCCTATGCTGCTAGCAGTCCCCCCTTCCTCCTGGGGCTCTCTCCTCTTCCTCTGAGCGGTCTCCCGTACCTTCCCCAGGGAGAGCCATGAGGCTCAACTGGGCCGTTAGCTGCTGTTTCTGCTGGCTCGCAGCTTCCAGACGCTCCTAAGGGGCCAGGAAAGAGTGAGAAGGCACAGAGTTTGCCAGGTCGTCCCCCTCACAGCCCCATCCTCGGCAGCTCCCTCCCCTGGGTCTCCTGCAACTTTTGGCAGGCCATCTCGGCCACCGCTTTGCCCCAAGCTTCCTGCTGCTGCAACTGGTTCATTAGCTGGGTCTGCTGCAGTCACTGCCTGTACAGCGCCTCCTTCTCACAGGTCAGCTGCTGATAGGCGGCCACCTGCTGCTGATAGGTGGCCACGTACTGCTGCAGGTGACCCAGGTAATGGTCTGGCTGCTGCTGCAGACTCTGAGCCTCTTGGCTCTTCAGCTCCACCTGCAGGAAGACCCTGGGTGTGAGGGCACGTGGTGGCTGGTTTGCAGATTCTGGGCCCATTAATAGGGTAGCGAGGGCACTGTGGGGCTCTGTCGCCTGCCCAGGCCCCTGGCCCCTTACTTCAGGCCTAAGTGACTGCCTTGCTTTCCTAGAACCCCATGCCTCCTTCCCCAGCCTCAAATCTCATGTCCTCTTCCCACCATTTCAACTGTAGGCCACAGAATGGTAGAAAAGTATGGGAGCCAACCACCATCTGCTAAATGTGCTACAGGCCTAATGCTTCCCATGTATTATCTCATTTAATCCTCAGCACCTCTGTAAGGAAAATGCTAACTTCCTTTTGAAGTTAAAGAAACAGAGACTTAGAGATGCGAAGTACTTGAATGGTGACCAGTGGAACTGAGGCTGGAATCCAGTTTTAATCTAAGGAGTCTTTTTGTTTTGTTTTGAGACAGAGTGTCACTCTGTGGCCCAGGCAGGAGTGCAGTGGTGCAATCTCAGCTCACTGCAACCTCCACCTCCTGGGCTCAAGCAATTCTCGTGCCTCAGCCTCCTGAGTAGGTGGGATTACAGGCATGCGCCACCACCATGCCCCACTAATTTTTCTTTCTTTTTTTGTTTTTTGTTTTTGTAATTTTAGTAGAGATGAGGTTTTACCATGTTGGCCAGGCTGATCTCAAACTCCAAACCTCAAGTGATTCTCCTGCCTCAGCCTCCCAAAGTGTTGGCACTATAGGCGTAAGCCACCGCATCTGGCATAAGAAGACTGTTATACCACTCTGTCTCTTCCCCTGTGATTGGGGGGGCTCCATGTCTCTAGCTGGAATGATGATGTCCAGACCTGGGAGGAGCCCAGGGCTACCCACCTCTAAAATCAGAGGGCAGGAAGCAAGAAACAGCCACAGGACTGCCCTGGAGGGTGCTGGGGTCACCTGCCCCCGGGCTGGAGCTACCGCTGGCCTGGCACCTCCCCTCCCCAGAGGCTGGTGCCCACCCACCTCCCAGACCTTCTTGGATGGGGTGGAGGTTACCGTCTCCTTCACCTTGCCTAGCTTCTCCTGCAGCTCCTTTACTTGCTGCTCCAACTGTAGTACGCTCTTGTTCTCATTGTTCTGGACAGAGAGAAGCAATCAGCAGCCACCCACTGCAGCTGGAGACCCCAGAACTTGGTGACTGCCTCCCATGGCACCGGGAAGGGTGGAGGCAGGTTAGAAAAATCATCCCCTGTCTCCCACAGCCACCAGAGCAGGGCTCTGGCTCACAGGTGCCTTTAGGAGTAACATTTCACTTGAGGGCTACACTGCCCCATTTTATAGGTGGGGAAACAAAGGCCTGGAGGGCTAGGGAGGAGGGCAAGCTCCCCAGCTGGGGCAACGCACCAGCTCCTTGAAGCTGTTCTGTGGCTCGGCCAGCTGCTGAAGCCTCTCCTCCTGCTCTGGAAGCCTCTCCTGCTGCTCCTGAAGCCTCTCCTCCTGCTCCCGAAGCCTCTCCTTTTGCCCCTCATTCAGGAGACTTATGCGCTGATTGTACTCCACCTGGGCCTGGAGCTCTCCTGCCACTCTCTCTAGTTCCTTCCTCAGGTGCTGCAGCTCCACCTCAGAGGGCACTGCTGGGGGCTCCGGGGGCAGAGGTTCAGCTGAGAAAGGAAGCAGACAATAAGAGCCTCTGGATTCCAAAAAAAAAAAAAGAAAAGAAAAGAAAAGAAAAAACCCTCCTCTTGGCGCACAGCTCCTCTCCGGCTCCTCAAACTTAGCCTCACTGCTAATGATTCCTCGCACCCAGATGGTAGCCAGTCTTCCAAAGCACTTTCAGAGAAAGAGCACTGCGGGTGGCTGACAACGGGCCCTCTTTGCTGATGGGGACACTGAGGCTCATTGAGATGACAAGACTTGCCGTCTCCTGGCACAGACCTCTTTCCCTCTGCCTCAAAGCCCTTCCATCCACCCACCTCGCTGGGGCACTCCAAGCCACCCTCACAGCCCTCTGATGCCAGTCCTGCTGCCAGGTCACGCCAGCCCCATCTTACCCATCTGGTGTTTGAGTTTGGACAAGCTCCTCTCCAGCTTCTCTACCCGATATTTATCATGCTTCTTCTCCTTCTTCAACGAGCAAACCTGCCCAAAGCACAGGGGGAAAGGGCCCTGGAGAGAGGGGCTGGAGGCTGGACATGCTACCATCTCCCTCTCTGCCCCCACCTCCACAAAGCCCAGTCCCAGGACCACCTCTGGCTCTACTATTCCCATTTTACAGGTGCCCAGAAAGATCCAGTGACCTATCTAATGTGGGGGGGCTGAAGGGTCAGATCTCACCTCCTGCGACATTTTTCTCATCCTCTGCTGCCACCGGGCCCTCTCTCCTTTTAGATGTTCAGCATATTCATCCCTCTCTAGCTGGACTTCTTTAAGTGACTCCTTCAACTGCAAGAATGGGCACAGAAATTAGGAAGGGCTGTCACTGGTCCTCACCTGCTCCTGGTTACCTGGGGTCATCTTCCTTCCACATCCCTCCCTCTGAACACCTCACCTGTGTCAGCTGCGCTTTCAGCAGTGCCTGCTCCCGCATGGACTGCTCTAACTTCCACTCCATACGTGCTTTACTGCGGCTGGAGAACTGCTGAAGAGTGAGAAGTTTCAATCTGGTGAGGCCGGGCCATTCCACACAGTGCCCCTTAAAAGGGCCAGGGCTAGGCCCAATATACAACTCGGTCAGTAAAGATCAAGGCATTTCCAAGCCCGTGGTTTGGTTTTTAAAGAACTCAGTAAAGTTGGAAGGGACAGGGAAAGAGATCGAATTTATAGCTGGCTAACAGAGGCCCAGAGAGATCAGATAATATTGCTATTGTTATTACTGTTATTATTACCACTGTTTGAACTTTTATGGAGTGCTTCACCAGATACCATGCTAGCAATCCCATTTAATCCTCGCAACTACCATGGGAGACAGTTACTATGATGACCTCTATTGTGTAGATGAAAAAACATGGAGTATTTGAGGTTAAGTGCTTGCCTAAGATCACTTAGGCAGAGCTGGGATTTAAACACCCAGATCTATCCAATTCTCTAAGCCCATTTTTCTTGCTGGGGGTGGGGGCACAGCTAGGAAGGGGAAAATTAATCTTTTGTTCACTTTTTGAAAGGATAATACATTCACATAGTCCCAAACTCAGAAGGTACAGAAGGGAAGTATCTCCCAGCCACCCTGTTGCTCTCTCCTGAGTTTTTATGAACACTTGCAAACATATTTTATGTATATTATCATAATATGTACACACACACACACGTTTCCTCTCTCTACAGAAATGGTAACATACTAAAGGTACTCTTCTGTACCTTCACAGTACAAGTACCCAATACCCACTGAGGACTTGGCCAAGACCACAGCCAGGTAAAGGCATGGCAGGCACTTGGCCTCCAAGCTCTACGTCCTGTGCTCTCTCCCCAGAGTGCCCCCCAACTCACCCACAGCAGCTGACTCAGTCCCAAGCTGCCGCTAACAACCATACAAAAAAGCAGTGAGAAATGGCCATGCTGCCTTCTGGGCAGGACACTCCATCCTGCAGAAGGGACCTTTAGGCTCACTCCTCTGTCTGCGAAGCCAGGCTCCCAGGGGACGGGGCAGGTGGTTGGACTCACCCTCTCCGCCTTCTTCTTCTGTGTGGCGGTGACAGCAGAGAGAGCCCGCTCTAACTCTCCTTTACGCTGCAATGAATGTTGCAGACGGACGGCCAGATCCTTGGACTCTTCTGTAATGAGAGAGTTGAGATGGGGCCCAAAGGACTCCCCCTGAAGACCTGTCAAAGTGCCAGGTTGAAGGATGACAGGGTACCCAGATTCCCACCTTCAAAGTATCTGAGAGAACGTTTCGTGTGGTACAGGTCCGTATTTAGTTTCCCTTTCTGTATGTTCAATCTCTGGATTTGAACCTTTGGGAGAAAAGCCAAGCAAGTGCTGAAAGAGAAGGAAAGAAACATTCTCCGGAGGACAGGAGAAAACTGCACACCGTCCACTCACCTCTAGCTCCCTTTCGGCTTTCTGTTTCTCGTTGTTTGCTTTCTTTTCCTGTAGGAAGAGGAAGACAGAGATCTAACCAGGCAGAGGCAGAGATGGTACTGCAAGAGACATGTCCCCAGAATGCCACCACTGCCCCTGCCCCGGGACAGGCCCACCCATGGGACCGGGTTATCAGGGACCCTGTGGGGGATGGGGTGGACTCTGGGGGGTGAGCCTTCTTCCCCAGGCTGGGAGTGGGTGAGACGAGACTCGGGGCCTCTACATCTGAGTGTCCCCCAAACCGAGCAGTCATGTCGCGAGCAAACAAAGAAATCATGTTACTTCTTCCAGCTGATGTTCCACTTGTTTATTCTGTTGTTTCTGTGGGGAGAGTCACATTAAGGTGATGGAGGGTGGCCCCCTCAACTCTATTCCCCAGAGCAGGAAGTGGTAGGCAGGGGCCAGGAATGGATTTTAAAGGCAAAGTTCTCAGACCCAGTGGGAACTCGAACTGGTAAACTCTCCTCAAGCTCCCAAGGACAGAGGATTTGGGTCTTTGTTGGCTTTTGTCCACAGCCACAGAACTCAAGGTCTGAATCTGGAATCTCTTGACAGGACAGTAACATAAACCTCTAGAGATGGAGTTTGAGAAAGGCCCCCCCTTCTGCCAGCTTGTGATTTAGAAAAGTGCATTCATTCAATAAACATTTACTGAGCACGTACGGGCCAAGTACGGTTCTTCACAGAAGATTTAGGGCGGAAAAGGACAGACAGGAGCCTTTGGCCCTGAGGTTTCCATTCTAGGAGGCCTTTAAATCTCAGACTCGAGAGCTAACAGAGACCTTTGATACTCACTACTTCCTCTGGAAACATGAGCCCAAAAAGGAGAGGTGGCTTGTCCAGAATCAAAGAGCAAATTAGGGACTGAGTCATGGCAGAAATACGGGGCCCCTGACAACCAGTCAGGCTAGCACTTCCCCAAGAGGCAACAATCCCAGGGCGTGTGTAGCAAGGACTCGAGCAGGGGCGTCTGGAGAGGGGAGAGTCAGCAAACAGGGCAGCAAAAAAAGAGCCATGCTGCATGCTCCGGGGTCCCTCCAGGTGAGGCCTGGGCGCCCCAGCTCCCTATTCGCCCTTGGCACCAGGGGCCGCCGTCCCCTTTCTTCAGGGCCCCAAGGGGAAACTAGAGCCCAGGATTGGCAGCGTGGAATCAGGGGACCCCAGTGGACTCTTACCAAAGATTTGATGGTGTTCTTCAGTTGACTGACTTTTACGGACCTCGAGTCTGGGACTACTGCTAGTTCTTGGCACGGGCTCTGAGGCGCATGCAGAGAGGAGGAGGTGGAGGAGGAGTGGGGGGAGAGGTAGAGAGAGCAATCATTAGGGCTGGGGTGTGTGTGGACTGTCTCAGCTGGCAGAGGGGCACCCCGTCCCACCTGGAGGAGGAGGTTGGAGGGCTGGCCTGCAGGGTCACTGCACCTCTGCCCAGAGCCTCTTACCTCCAGATCCTTCAGGGTAGCAGATGATGTAGGGCTCTCCCCGTGGATACCTGTTGCTGACTACAAGAGATGAGAGTGCACATGAAGATGTTCTGTCCCACTCAGTATCTAAGCCCTCTGACTTCTTTTCTTCCCCATCAACTGGCACAATTTTCTTTTCTGCCTATCTTGGACCCTTTGTCCCATAACTCCTTTGTGCCAACTTCTCTCATGGTTCTTATCTCCCCACCACAGCACCCTGTGGCCCTTTCAGTGACTCCTGTGCCAAGTGACTGTTCTCATTGTCCTGGCTTCCCCTTGAGACTGGGGATGAGGAAAATCGAACAGCAATGACCATATCCTGGGTGTTCTGGGTGTTTACAGCAGGCCATGTACTAGGGATTAACATAAAAACAACAATAACAAATCTCATTTAAACTTCACAAATGGAAGTGAAACAATACCACCTCTATTATACAGATGTGAAAAGAGAGGCCCGATGAGGTCTAGCAACTTGCCCTAATTCATATCCCTAGCAGACAAAGAGGCAGGATTCAAACCCAGAATTCTTCACAGGTACCCAACAGTCCATCCACAATCTTAACAATTACCCTCTAGTGCCCCTTGGGTCCCCTGTCCCCAGGAACCTAGTCAGCCAAGACTCACATCTCCAGGTGAGTGGCAACCACCAGAAGTGGCTGTCTCATGGATGCTGCCATTTGTTTTCCTGTTCCTCTTGGCTCCTGCTGGAACACCAGGGCTGTTTCTCTGCCAATATTCTTTTAACTGTCAGAAATAAGAGCAGTAATACTCATGAGAACTATCAGCCCCTGCAGCCACATCCTCCTTTACAGTTTTTATAAAATACTCTTATACACCATCTGATTTAATGATACCAACAACTGTACAAGGTGTTGTCACAATCATTTAGTGACTCAAAGAGATTGATATCATGGCTAGAAAAAAAAAGAAGAAAAGAAAAAGGCGACAGACGAACTTTGAAACTCAGTCTTCTGACTCCAAACTCTGGGGTTTTACCAAGAATCATCAGCTGCCAGGGACCAAAACCAGAGGCAGAGGTAGAAAAGTAAACATTAAGTAGGCAGGAACTGTATGCCATGTGGTTTAGTCATACATCCTCACACGTCTGTTAGTGTGAAGAAGTGCACCAGTACCTCTCAAACTCTTATATCAATGTGTCCTCATGGCAGAAGGCAGCCTTTCTGTTAAATCTGGGAATTTATCAGAAAGAGGACAACCCAAGCCTCATTTCAGAGAGAAGTCTGGTATACTGTTAGAAACCTATGTGACTGTCATCCCTAAGTACATTAATGTTTTTTCTCTTGATCTCAAGAGAATCAATGGAAACTGATGCTTCAGAAAGATGTCCCATATGTATCCTGTGGCACTCAAAGTACCCCAGGTTTACATAATATGAGGAAGATTCAAGCTGTCAAGTTCAGTTTCCCAAGATCTATTCCACAGAAGATGAGCAAATCTCACTTCACAGACCACTGGCTGAAGGGCAGTCTGGTCCCAG
Source organism: Homo sapiens (assembly GCF_000001405.40). Lineage (NCBI taxonomy): Eukaryota > Metazoa > Chordata > Mammalia > Primates > Hominidae > Homo > Homo sapiens. The sequence continues at coordinate 231,463 of NW_003315943.1, forward strand.
AACCATGGAGAATTAGAATGTGAGGTGGAGAACTCACAAAAAATTTGTTAAAATCTCTCTGGAAAGTAGAAGCCTGGGAGAAAACCAAACCAAGTCAAACCCATTCTCCAGTTGCCATCCAGAGGTACTGTCAATGTTTTGAGCTCACAGGGGAAGTGTAGGCTTTTCCCGCTGTCAATGTTTATGCTAAGGGAGTGAGGCAGCCTGAAACCTCTTGCTCCTAGGTCCCAATCTCCATTCCCCTTCCAGCTGGAAATTTGTGCTGTGACAAGAGGAACCAGAAATGGGGTGGCAATGCTTAGGGGACTGGGTCATAAGATCAAAGGCCAGTCTTGCAGTAATGACAGTTACTGGATGGACCGTGACATCACTACATTCCACTCTTCCTGGTGAGGGGGAGGGACCACATCAGCATGATGTCCGAGTCACCGCTCCATGATAGGGGAGGGAAAAACAGAGCTGGGACCCAGGTCCTTGGAGACACCAGTGCACACAGCCTAGGGAGGTCCACCTTGAGGCAGCAGGAGGGAAGGGAAGAGTCAGCAGCAGGGAGCCCCAGGATTCACCAGCCTAAAGTCACCCAGGGATGACTGGTGAGGGTGGGGTCTGGGGCTGTGGGACCCAGGTCCTTGGAGATGTGAGCCCAAAAAGCCCTGGGAGGTCAAGCTTGGGGTGGCAGGAGATGAGGGCCCAGTAAAGGAGCGGGGAGCCCCAGGATTCACCTGCCCAAAGTCACCCTGGGGTGATTGGTGAGGGCAGAGACTGGGCTGCTTGCTGAAGGGGTGGGGCTGACTGACAAAACTTTGGTGGGGGTAGCCCAGAGGCACCGGTGTGGGGGTCCCAGTCCGGTGAACCTCGGGAGTGGTATGGACTCTGGCAGCAGTCTTGTCGTTGGAGAGGATCTATGGCTGGGTTGGGGGTCCGTGACCTGGTGTGTTTTTACCTTTCTCTTGGCTGCTGCCAATTTACTTTGTCGAGTTTCTTCTGCCATCGCAGGGTGGGGAGGGAGGCGGGCTTGGGGCCACATCAGCAAAATCCCACCAAGCACTGATCAACACCTCCAGTCACCTACCAGGTAGCTGTGCGACTGAGCCAGAGGAGGCGTAACCAGGGATGCAGTAGAAGGCAGAATAGGGGCGTGGCCTTAATGCTCCAAGCCCATTGGTTAATGAGAAAGATGAAAGGGAAAGGGGGCGTGGCCAGGCATCATGTGTCCAGAGGGACCTTTGGCTCACAAGGAAAGCTGCCCAGGCAACCACTGTCCCCACCCACCCTAAGAGAGGGGAGAGGCCGCCAACTCTGGGAGAGGGGCAGGGCCGGCTTTTGCTTTAAAAGCTTTTAAAAATATATATATGTGTATACTTTATATATATGTGTGTCTGTGTGTGTGTACCTGTGTGTTCCTCCAGAGCTGTCTTCATGATCCAGCTTCTATGCAAGGTCTATGATTTTGGCCTATATTTTTCATAGAGTACAAAAATTACCAGTATTACCTTAACCGAGATACAGATCCTATGAACATGGAAAATCCATAGCATGCTTGATGATTACTGAAGCAGACTATATTATCCAACATTCCAATAAGATAAAATAATCACAATGACTTCTCTTTTTTGGAAAAATGTTTCTCTTATTCTCCTACGTTATTGTGAAGACTTTTTTTCTTAAACAAGAAACATGTGTAATATTTGTAAAAACACAAAGCTTTTGGGCCGGGTGCAGTGGCTTATGCGTATAATTCCAGCACTTTAGGAGCCTGAGGCTGGCGGATCATGAGGTCAGGAGATTGAGACCATCCTGACTAAAAAGGTGAAACCACATCTCTACTAAAAATACAAAAAATTAGCCAGGCGTGGTGGTGGGTGCCTGTAGTCCCAGCTACTTGGGAAGCTGAGGCAGGAGAATGGCGTGAACCCAGGAGGTGGAGCTTGCAGTGAGCTCAGATCGTGCCACTGCACTCGAGCCTGGGCTACAGAGCGAGACTCCTTCTCAAAATAAATAAATAAATAAATAAAACTTCTATTTCTTTCACTTTCTAATATAATTTTAATATCTCCTCCTGGGATTTCACTAAGACACATTTTGGACCTCATTCTGATCTTCCTCTCCCCTCCAAGCCCACCAACTTCTGCCCTATCATCCATCCTCATGTCTCTCTGTGTGACATGCTGACTTACTTTTTGGAGAGAATCGCCTAAACAATTAATTCTTTCTTCTCGTGTCTAATCCATCCACTAGTTTCTTATTTCAACAATTACATTTTTATTTCCTTATTTCATTTTATTCTGAGACTGAGTCTCATTCTGTCACACAGGCTGAATTGCAGTGGTACGAACCTGCAGACTCGGCCTCCTGGGCTCAAGTGATCCTCCCACCTCAGCCTCTTGAGTAGCTGGGACTATAGGCAGGTGCCCCATACCCAGCTAATACCATACCCACACAGCAGAGACATAAAAGATTTCCATCCTCAAAGAAGGTTCCATTGAACAGCACTGCTCTAATTCAGTAAAAAATACCACTGAGCACAACATAGTAATAGAAAAGATTGAAGAGGCAGTGCTGATACTTAAAAACCTGGTATTTTCAGCCAGGCATGGTGGCTCATGCCTGTAATCCTGGCACTTTGGGAGGCTGAGGTGGGAAGATCGCTTAAGCCCAGGAGTTCTAGACCAGCTTGGGCAACATGGTGAAACCCTGTCTCTACAAAAAATACAAAAAATTAGCTGGGCATGGTGGCATGTGCCTGTAGTCCCAGCTACTTGGGAGGCCGAGGTGGGAGATCACCCGAGCCTGGGAGGTCAAGGCTGCAATGAGGTGAGATGGCACCACCACACTCCAGCCTGGGTGACAGAGTGAGACCCTGTCTCAAAAACAAAAAACAAAAAACAAAACAAAAACACCTGATATTTATTTTTAAGTACACTATTTTCAAACATTCAGAAGTTATTTCATCCTACCTTCATGGTTTCCATTCTATGCCTGGTTTAGAATTGGGATCTGATAAAATAAACGTGTTCAACAGAACCACTTCTCATGGCTGTATAACAGATGATCAATATGTATTTGCTGAGGAAATTATACAATTTTCTTAATTTTTTTTAACAAAAATTGTGGTTTCAAGGGACCAAACTTGAATACTACACCTTCATGTTCTAAGAATCAGGGGACTTATATAAAACCTCAGTTGCCTGATAAGGACTACATCAAAGTGAAAAGCCATGGGAAAGAACTAGAAAGTATACTTTTGACCCTAGTTCTGTAAAGTTTCCTTATGCCACAGGTAATACACATCGCAATTCCTGCCAAATTCTTTCCCTCACCTCTGTTTATGGTCTCGATTCCATAAATAGGAGAAGGGCATGAATTTGCTTTAGTTAGATAGACAGATGGATAGATAGATAGATGGATGGATGGATGGATGGATAGATAGATAGACAGAGATAAAGATAGAGACAAAGATGGAGACAGAGATGGACATAGAGACAGATTTGCAGAAGATAAGTTCTAGGTGAACTAGTGTCAACATTAAAGTGGTATGCCTACATCTAACTATTCTGGAGAGAAAAACATACCTCAAAGAAATTGACTTAAATATATACAGAGAAAAAGTTTAAGCTGAAAGCTACTGCCTTTTTATATGAGACACTTTAGGAAATTACTTGGGGGGCAAGAGAGAAAATGGGTGGACATAGCTCAGAGGTTACACAGTAGCAGATATGTAGGATGAACAAGCCTAGAAATATAATGTACAACGCGAGAAATATAGGTAATAAAATTGTGCTGTATTTGGGATTCACGCTAAATGAGATTTTAAGCTCCTCTTGCCACCAAACAAAAAGAAAACGGGTAACTATCTGAGTTGAAGGATACGTTAATTTGCTTCACTGTAGTAATTTTTTTTAACCATCTATATGCATCCCATAAAATCATGTTGTATACCTTAAATACACAGAATACAATTTATTTAACATAAAAAACTACTCCAATATTTTCTGCATTTTTAATATGCTCACCCAAAGAAAGCATTAATTTGCATCTTTGATGTTAAACAGATAGCCTAATCAAGTCACTATCAAGATCAAGACTAAAAGTTACAGCTTTTTTCTTTTGATGCCTTTCAGATATATCTATTTATATATAAAAATATATATACACACACACATACATACACACACACATATATATGTAGTTATGTGTGTGTGTATATATAGTTACAGTTTTGGCCAGGTGCAATGGCTGACACCTGTAATCTCAGCCCTTTGGGAGACCAAGGCTGAAGACTTGCTTGAGGCCAGGAGTTTGAGACCAGCCTGGGCAACGAAGCAAGACCCTATCTCTACAATTTTTTTTTTAACAAAATTAGCCAGGGATGATGGCATGCACTTGTAGTCCCAGATACTTGGGAGGCTGAGGCGGAGGATCCCTTGAGCCCAGGAGTTCAAAGCTGCAATGGGCTGTTACTGTGCCACTGGATCCCAGTCTGAGCAACAGAGCAAGACTTTGTCTCAAAAACAAAATTTATAATTAAAGATAAATAGTTATAGTTTTATGAACCTTGACTGCAACTGAGGGAAAATCCCGTAATTGGCAAAATGAATTCTGCCTGCTTGCAAAACTTCTGACTAATACGGAATGAATAATAGGAAGCCCATATTAGAGGATCCACATCAGTTAAAAAGTTTCCAAATAAGAGTGACTCTGAGTTCTGCAGAGTGAAAAGATTGGGTTCAAACCAAACACTTGCAAGATCTTGAGTAAGATACTTAATCCCTCTGTGACTCACTGTTCTCAAATGTAAGTGAAGATAATTTGTAACTCAAAAAAAATGAAAAAGTTTTCTCTAAGATTGCAAATCCTAAGGATAATTTCATTTTAATATCAGTTATTTAGTCTGGATACACCATAATGCAGACTAATTTTCCCTCTGCTTAAAGACCACACAAAAACATTACCAATAAAATTTACTTGTGTATCAACTTTTACTCCTGAGACTTCATCGTTTGTTTGGTTAAAAAAAAAAAAAAAAAAAAAAAGCGCACTAGACCGGGCACAGTGGCCCATGTCTGTGATCTCACTTACGGAGGCCAAGGCAGGTGGATGAGTTTGAGAACAACCTGGGCAACATGGAAAAACCCCATCTCTACAAAAAAAAAATATAAAAATTAGTCAGGTGTGGTGGCACATAACTGTGGTCCCAGCTACTCCAGAGAGTGAGGCGGGAGGATTGCTTGAGCCCACGCAGAGGTTGCAGTGAATCAAGATGGCACCACTGCACTCCAGCCTGGGTGACAGAGCAAGACCCTGTCTCAAAAAAAAAAAAAAAACACTATAAAATTGAAATTCACAACAAAATGTGCATACTTAACCTTCTTTTTATTTATTTATTTATTTATTTATTTATTTATTTTTAATATTTTGAGACAACATCTTGCTATGTTGCCTAGGCTGGTCTTGAACTCCTGGGTTCAAACCATCCTCCAGTCTTGACTTCCCAAAGTACTGGGACTACAGGTGTGAGCCACCAGCCCCGCCAGCCCTGTTACACTATTCTTGGCCCCTCAAGTGACTGTATGAATTTTAGGATGAGCCTCTCGAGTTCCACAAAAAAATTCTATTGGGATTTGTGTAGGAATTTCTTGAATTTATAGATTAATTTGTTGAGAAGTAGTATGTTTATAGCATTGAGTCCTACGATTCATAATATATATGGCATGTATTTCAGTTTAGTCAGTTCTTCCTTTAAGTCCCTGGGTAATTTTTATATTTGTCTTAGTCCCTTCATAGTGCTATAACAAAACACCTGAGACTGGGTAATTTACACAGAGCAGAAGTTTATTTTCTCAGTTCTGGAGGTTGGGAAGAACAAGATCAAGACTCCAGCAGACACAGTGTCTAGTGAGGGCCTGGTCTCTGCTTCCAAGATGGTACGTTGAATGCTGCTTCCTCTGGAGCAGGCAAATGCTATGTTCTCATGAGGCAGAAGGGACAGATTTACCACCACCCACAAGCCCTTTTATAAGGAAGGCACTAATCTCATGCATGAGGGCTCACCCTTATGTCTTAATCACTTCTTAAAGGCCCCACTTCTTAGTACTATCATCTTGGGAATTAAGTTTTAATACATGAATTTTGGGAGACACATTCAGGCTATGGCAATACTCTTCATGAAAGGCCTTGTGTATACTTTGCTAGATATATTCTCAGGGTTTTGTTGCTATTGTGAATAGAATCTCTTTTTTTTTTTTTTTTTTTTTGCCACGGAGTCTGGCTCCTTTGCCCAGGCTGGAGTGCAGTGGCACGATCTCGGCTCACTGCAAGCTCCGCCCCTCCAGGTTTAAGCAGCCTGTTGCCCAGGCTGGAATGCAGTAGCATAGTCATAGTTCAATACAGCCTCAAACTCCTGGGCCCAAATGATTCTCTAAGCTAATATTTTTAATTTTTTAGAGATGGAGTTTCATTCAAGGATCACTAAAGGCCAGTGATCCTCCCGCCTCAGCTTCTGAAATTGCTGGGATTACAGGTGTGATTGAGCCATGGAGCCTGGCCAGACATGGGCTATTGATTCTCGCTGTTACTCTTTTCCCTTTCCTTCTAATCCTTGTATTGGGAAGAAAACAGTATGGAAATTTTATTTCTTCATTTTATTGATACGTAGATCTCTGCTTAGAAGACAATTTTAGTTTTAAATTATAAATGTTTTGTTCATTATTCATAGAAAACTAGATTTGCCATGGGATGTTTATAAGTGTTGCACGAATGAAGGGTTTTCTAGTCAAATAAGTTGAAACACATTACGTTAAACAAACTTGGACAGTTTTGTTTCTGGTCAGTTTTAGAGTTCTAAATTATGATTCTACTCAAGAGGATATTGTATGCGGTATTTTCAAACCAACTCATCCTGCGTCAGGTTGTGGTTACGCTTTGGGAGAGGAAGCTATAATCTTATACTGAGACTGTAATGAATGTATTAAAGTAATTTTCGTAGCTTTCTCTTTTTGGAGTTACCTGAGAAATTATGACACCCTTTTCCAAACAGGCCAAGCTGCTTTGCAAACACGATTTCCATAATTTTAACAATGGTGAGGCCAGGCACGGTGGCTCATACCTGTAATTCCTTCCAGCACTTTGGGAAGCCTAGGCAGGAGGATCACTTAAGCCAGGAGTTCAATACCAGCCTGGGCAACATGGCAAAAACTCATCTCTACAAAAAATACAAATATTAGCCAGGCGTGGTGGCACACACCTATAGTCTCAGCTACTCAGAGGTTGAGGTGGGAAAATTGCTTCAGCTCAGGAGCTCGAGGCTGCAGTGAACGGTGATCACGCCACTGCACTCCAGCCTGGGTGACAGAGCAAGACCCTGTCTCAAAAACAAACAAAACAAAACACAAACCAAGGGTGAGAGAGATGTTAGATGTTTTTGTCCTTGTTACAGATGTAAATGCTCAGTTGGAAAGAGGGAAGTATTTAGAGTGAAAAACTTTCGGTGGAACACACACAAAAATAGGAAGATCAGGTATAACTGTTCCAAAAAAAAGAGTATGGCAGTATAGAAGAAAAGGTCTCCATGAAAATGCAGAAGAACAATTTCACAGCTGGTGCTGGCATTTCAGAGACCTTGAGCTGGGAATCAAAAGATGGGAATTTCAGTCTCGGATGTGCCACTCCTTAGAGGTTTAATATCTACTAAACCCGGCGGGCTCCACTTGGTGGTGTTTGCTATTTAAAAAAACAAAAACATGTGGCAATGATCTTCCACGTGATTCTGACTTGAGCCCCACCCGAGTCTGCAGACTTACCCTTCCACTGCTTTGCCCTTCAAGTTTGTGCCCATTAGCAAAGAGAAATTTTCTCTTTGGGATCACTGCTGTGTTGATCTCAGGAATAGTTGGCGTTGAATTTAACATATTTTTCATATGTGTGTGCAATAGGGAGGCTGAGAAACTTGTCTTTTTTTTAAGGTGTTCATTTTTGGGGTACAGGTAGCAGCCTGCTCTACAATCCACACAGAAGCTGGAAATAGCCTCTAGAGAATTTCCACTTTTAGAGAAGATAAATTTATACATTTGTATCTAATCAACATTTTTTAGCTAACATAGTAGTCTAATTATACTATGTATAATTATACTATGTATAATTATGGGTACTGAAATGACACCTGGCATATGCTGTATGCTGTGTTATATATACATATATATTTACACATATACATATATATTACACATATACATATATATTTACACACATATATTTACACATATACATATATTTACATATTTTGCATTTACATTTTACATTTATTTTACATTTTACATTTATTTTACATTTTACATTTACATTTGACATTCTACATTTATTTTACATTTACATATTTTACATTTACAAATATTTACATATTTTACATTTATATATATACATATATTTACGTACATATTTTTACATACATATTTACATGTGTATATATTTACATACATTCACATACATATTTACATATATACTTACATACATACATATTTACATAATATTTACATACACATATTACATACATATATGTACACATATACATATATTTACACATATACATATACTATGTATAATTATACTATGTATAATCATGGGTACTGAAATGACACCTGGCATATGCTGTATTTAAAAATGTGAGGTTCAATGAGAACACATGGACACAGGAAGGGAAACAACACATACTGGGGCCTGTCAGGGCGGGTGGGGGAGGAGCATCAGGAAAAATAGCTAATGCGTGCTGGGCTTAACACTGAGGTGATGAGTTGATAGGTGGACCAAACCACCATGGCACACGTTTCCCTACGTAACACTCCTGCACATGTACCCTAGAACTTAAAACAAAATTTTAAAAATAATAAAAAATAAAAATTTGAAATTCAGCACATAAACTGTTGGTTTTATTATTCATATTTTCTTAATTCAGAAATTATTTTCTGAACTATGGTTTATTCGATAATTTTGACGTAACAATTTTTTAAGAGGAAATTTAAGTTTTACTTTTTAATTGGGGCTCTTGGTTCTTTTTAAGAAAGACAGAGATAAATCATTTATACATTTAATTAGAAGAGACTGGGCTTGAATTTTTAAAAAGTACTAGAAATCGTAGCCACTATATATGTTATCTTTGAAATGTTTTAGACACTAATTACCTAAACAAGGAGCAAATAAGTTAAACCTCTTGGATTTTAATAAGAGCTAAAATGTACAGTTGTATTTTCTGGTTTTTTAAATTGTTACAGTCTAAATTTATTCTTCCTAATGAAGAAATGTATGTGCCGTCAATATCAGGTTCTTTGTGGGTACTCACAGTTCCCTTTGCCTTTTACGCAGTGAATGTGGGCAACATGCGTGGAACAGAAATGATGTCGTTTTCTTTCTTTTGAATATCACTATGAATCTAATAATTCAAAGATTCCTAACTTTCTGAATGCCATTATTAATTGGATTCACAATGACTTACCAGGTACAGAGTTGTCCAGTGTGTCTTGGGGTGAACTACTGAGAGTGGTATGAGGGAAGCGATTCTCAGCTAGCACTGAGTGGGGCCACTTCCAAAGAGGTGATGGGGTAAGAAGCACACACAATGTGGCATTTTCACTGCAAAGGGAGGTTTGTGCTGCCTCTCCTCCTGTGGCAGGTCTGCTCGCAGGGGAGGCTCCAAAGTTTGGCTTTGCTGGGTTTGGCATGTGAGAACTGATGAAATATCTGTATGTAGTATCTTTCAAGGATTTATATCGGTTGGATTTCTGTGTAAATTTGCATATCCCTTTGACTGCTTTACCCTATAGAAGCTTTGTATGCTTAACAAAATCTGTAACTTTTCTGTCACTTTCTCATTTAGCATCTGCCTTTCTGGCTTTTTACTTTATCTTTTTATTATTGTTTTTAGTTTAATGAGATTATGGTTAGAGAGAAAGATGGATGCATGATTCCGCTTCTTTGGAATTTGTTGAGATTTTCCTTATGGCTCAGTACATATGTACTTGGGGGGGGTGAATGCTGTCACTTTGGAGAGATATGTTTTTTCTCTACATTAGGTCAAGCTTGTTAATTTTCTAGAGAGATGTAAATCTTCTATGTCTATGCTGATTGTTTTTTGTCTCTTTTATCAGATACTGAGATATGTATTTAAATTGCCCTCTGAGGGTTGCAATTTTGTCATATTTTGCTTTCATGTATTTTGAGTGCTAGTTATTAGATACATTAACATTTTAGATTACCTTCTCCCTTGGTTTATTAGAATTTTTATCATCATATTGTGACCTTAAAAAATCTCCCATATTGCTTTTTGCCCAAAGCCTATTTTATCTGATAATAATATAGCTTCCAACCCTTCTTTGGGTTGGGTACATATGACATGTGTATCTTTTTTCAATCTCTCTCAGTCTTTCTGTGACTTTATGTTTTAGATGTCTTTTCATACTGTTTATTTTCTGTTTTTTGTGTTTTTTTTGTGTGTTTTTTTTTTTGATACGGAGTCTTGCTCTGTTGCCCAGGCTGGAGTGTAATGGTGTGATCTCGGCACTGCAACCTCTGCCTCCTGGATTCAAGCGATTCTCCTGCCTCAGCCTCCTGAGTAACTGGGATTACAGATGTTCACCACCACGCCGGCTAATTTTTGTATTAGCAGAGATGGGGTTTCACCATGTTGGTCAGGCTGCTCTCGAACTCCTGACCTTGTGATCCCTCCGCCTGCCTCATCCTCCCAAAGTGCTGGGATTACAGGCATGAGCCACCACGCGTGCCCTAATTCTGTTTTATAGTCATTTTCTCTTAATTATTCAGTCTATTTACATTTATTGTGATTGTTGGCATAGTTTCTTTTATAACTTTCATCGTATTTTGTGCTATTTGTTCCATCTGTTTTTATTTCTTCATGTCTTTTTTGTCTCGTTTTTGCTAATTCCTTTTATATTCATGGTTATTCTGCTCTTGAAATGTATGCTATGTGAATATATTTGTGAGTTGACAATACTTTATTAGCAATTAAATATACTATTTCTCTTTTTTTTTAGAACTTGCTCAAATGTTACATAACCTCAATATCCTTAGTATCTAAATTAAACTGACTTTCTGAACAATCATCATTTTAAGGCAGTTACCACGATCTACTAAAAAATAAAAAAAAATTAGCCGGGTGTGGTGGTGGGCGCCTGTAATCCCAGCTACTCAGGAGGCTGAGGCAGGAGAATCCCTTGACCCTGGGAGGCAGAGGCTGCAGTGAGCCGAGATAGCGCCACTGCACTCCAGCCTGGGCGACAGAGAGACTCCGTCTCAAAAAAAAAAAAAATAATAATAATAATAAAGGAATTTAAAAAAAGACTGGGTTTAACCATGTTGCCCAGGCCGGTCTGGAACTCCTAGGCTCAAGCAATCCCCCACGCTTGGCCAGTCCAAAGTCCTGGAATCAAAAGCGTGAGCCACCACGCCAGGCCGATCACGCCTGTCATCCCAGCACTTGGGGAGGCGGAGGTGGGTGGATCACCGGAGGTCAGGAATTTGAGACCAGCCTGGCCAACATGATGAAAACCCGTCTCTACTAAAAATACAAAAAAAAAAAATTAGCCGGGTGTGGCGGCAGGTGCCTGTAATCCCAGCTACTCAGGAGGCTGAGGCAGGAGAACCACCAAAACCCGGGATGCAGAATTCGCCGCGAGCGGAGACCCAGCCACTGCACTCCAGCCTGGGCAACAAGAGGGAAACTCCGCCTCAAAAAAAAAAAAAAAAAATAATAATAAGAGACAGATTTTCACCATGTTGCCCAGGCAGGTCTGGAACTCTTAGGCTCAAGCAATTCCCCACGCTCGGTTGTCCAAAGTCCTGGGATCAAAAGCGTGAGCCACCACGCCAGGCCGATCTATTTCTTTCTGATTAATAAATTGGGCCAGGAGGGTGGCTCACGCCTGCAGTCCCAGCACCCCGGGAGGCCGTGGCGGGCGGATCACCTGAGGTCGGGAGTTTGAGACCAGCCTGACCAACATGGAGAGACCTGTCTCTACCAGAAAAAAAAAAAAAAAAAGAGCCGGGCATGGTGGCTCCCGCCTGCAATCCCAGTCACTCGGAGGCTGAGGCAGGAGAACCACCCAAACCCAGAGGCAGAGGCCGCGGGGAGCCGACACCGCACCACTGCACTCCAGCCCTGCAACAAGAGGGAAACTATGCCTCAAAAAAAAAAAAAAAGAGAGAGAGAGAGAGAGACCGGTTTTCACCATGTTGCCCAGGCTGGTCTAGAACTCCTAGGATCAAGGGATCCGCCACGCTCGGCCCGTCCAAACTCCTGGGATCAAAAGCGTGAGCCACCACGCCAGGCCGATCCTTCCTGTCATCCCAGCACTTTGGGAGGCCGAGGTGGGTTTACCTGAGGTCCGGAGTTCGAGACCAGCCTGGCCAACATGATGAAAACCCATCTCTACTAAAAATACAAAATAAATAAATAAATAAATAAATAAATAAAAATTAGATGGGTGTGCTAGCGGGCGCCTGTAATCTCAGCTACTCAGGCGGCTGAGGCAGGAGAATCACTTGAACCTGGGAGGCAGAGGTTGCAGTGAGCCGAGACAGCGCACCACTGCACTCCAGCCTGGGTGACAAAGTGAGACTCCGTCTCAAAAGTATATATATATAAAAATAAAAAATGAAATAAAAATAAATTGGGTGTGTGCGCTGGCTCACGCCTGCAATTCCAGCATCCCCAGAGGCCGAGGTGGGCGGATAACCTGAGGTCTGGAGTTTGAGATCAGCTTGCCCAGCATGGAGAAACCCCGTCTCTACCAAAAACAAATAAAAAAAAATTAGCAGAGCAATGTTGGTCAGGCCTGCAATCCCAGCCACTCCGGAGACTGAGGCAGGAGAACTACTAAAACCCTGGAGGCAGAAGTCGCTGCGAGCGGAGACCCAGCCACTGCACTCCACCCTGGGCAACAAGAGCGAAACTCCGCCTCATAAAAAAAAAAAAAGAGAGAGAGACCGGGTTTCACCATGTTGCCCAGGCAGGTCTGGAACTCCTAGGCTCAAGGGATACCCCGCGCTGGGCCATCCAAAGTACTGGGATCACAAGCGTGAGCCACCACACCAGGACGATCTATTCCTTTCTGATTAACAAATTGGGCCGGGAGCGGTGGCTCAAGCCTGCAATCCTAGCACCTCGGGAGGCCTAGGCAGGTGGATCACCTGAGGTCGGGAGTTTGAGACCAGCCTGACCAACAGGGAGAAACCCCATCTGTACCAAAATAAAAATAAAAAAAAAATACAAAATTAGCCGGGCTTGGTGGCTTATGCCTGCAATCCCAGCCACTCTGGAGGCTGATGCAGGACAACGACCGAAACCCGGGAGGCGGAAGTCGCGGCAAGCAGAGACCCAGCCACTGCATTCCAGCCTGGGCAACAAGAGCGAAACTCCGTCTCAAAACAACACAAAACAAAAAGACCAGGTTTCACCATGTTGCCCAGGCCTGTCTGGAACTCCAAGGCACAAGCGATCCACCCTACTTGGCCGTCCAAAGTCCTGGGATCACAAGAGTGAGCCACCACGCCAGGCAGATCAAAGCGTTGAGCTGAATAAAGAGTTATCTTTTAGCATTTTGTGGAGCCCGGGTAGATCTGTGCAGGGGGAAGCATATTACAGAAGCGAGAAACAGAGGGTTATTTAATTGAAGCACGCATTATGTTTTTTTTTTTTTTTATGTTTTTAGGAAAAATATGTTTTGTGACTTGCATTCGTTTGTTTAGTGACCTTGCAGTTGCACAGTTAGGGAATTAGGGTTTTGATAATGCCTGGGAAGGGAGCGATAAGGCTCACTAGCCATAGGAAAACAGGTAGTTTTTTTAAAGGACTAAGGCTCTTTCTCATTCTCAGGGGGAATTGGTTTTTTTTTACATACAGCTGAGTTTTTGCTTACACATTTTTTCATTTCTTTTAATTCCTGTTCCAATGCCAGCATCCTTGCGGTGCGGTTTCCCAGCGGCTCTCTTGCCTTGCAGCTTGTGTCGGGAGTTGCAGACAGCCATGGCCCATGGGCCTGGCGCTGACGGACCCTGGAGCGGTGTCTGAGGGAGGTGGGCAAAGCCACTGGCTGGCCCGAGAGCATCCTCACGTAAGTGCACAGATCCCGGGCTTGGGTGCGACTGCGGTCGCACGTGGACACGGGTTGCAGACCCCTGGCAAATTGTGGAGCTGGGGGAAGGTAAGGGGAAATGTAAATCACTTTTCCCCACATTTCAGAGGACCTAGGCTATCAAAATTTTAAAAATTGTTAAAACTTTTACAGTATGGATCTCTCAGTTGAATGTTATTGAAATCAACCTAACCTCAGTTATTCACGCCTATAAGCTCCCCTTGAGGCTTATTACGGCCCCCATCCCCCTACACACAACTGTGTTGGTTTCTCCTTCCGCCTGTGCTCCTAAAGCACTCAGTGTTTACCTGCCATCATACTTTATTGAAAACACAAACTTGTCACTTGTCTGTCTACCCCACTAAGCTTCTTGAGAATTAGAACTTTCATGTCTCTTCCCAACACAAACGTTTTATGTGTATTTTGTTGAAGAACTTCAAATATGACCTATAAAATTATGACTCATTTATGTTTCAAACTCCAACCTCTCCCTTGAGTTCCTTGCTCACAAGCAACTCCAGACTGAGCTTAGTTGGAATTCAGTAGCGCACAACTGGGATATCCGCACCGTACGGTTTTTAACAATTTTTTAAATTTTGGTCCTCTCAGCATCACAAATTCACTGTGTCCAAAATACAGTAGAATGCTGTTTCTACCCACCTACACTCTGCCATCCGCTGAAGTCCTTTCCCCTTGCTCCACCACTCAAGCCTTGCCTATCGCACTAAATGGCAGTTCTGTCTCTCCAGTTGCTCGCACATAAAACTAGGCTGCTATTTTGATGTCTTCACTTTTCTCTATTCTGTATCTAATTCCTTAGCAATCCTGTCAGTTCTACCTCCAAACTGTACTCAGCATATTCACTGCTCTAACTCCAGCTTAAATCACCATCATCCTTTGCCTGGAATGCTGCATCAACCTTCTAATCACTCTACTTTCCTCCTCCTCCTTCCTCCCTTTCTTCTTCCTTCGTATAAATCATCATTTCATCCTTCTGCTTAAAATCTTCTCATATTTTCTTATTACACTTAAAACGGCAAACTCTTACCCTTGAGCCCTGCAGAATTTGGCTCCCATCAGTCTCTCCAACTTCACCTTCTGCCTCCTTCACGCTATAGCCATGCTCACTTTTTTTATTCCTCAGGCTTACCAAGCTCAATTGCATCTTAGAGAATTTGTTCTTGCTGTTTCTTCCGCCTGGAATACATGTTTCCCAATCTTTATAAGACTATACTTGTCTGTAAGTTTCATCTCAGATGTCACATCTAGGAGAGGTTTTCCTTGACCACTGTAGCCAAAGCAAATGTTGATCATTGAGTGAATAAGGGAATGAATGAATGGAGTGGTATATAATGTAGCAGAGTAGATAATTTAAGGCTAATTCACTATATATCTCCAAGCAAATAGATTTGTAATGCTTTTCCTGCCAACAATCTATACAGCTGATTCACAAATACTTGGTTGACAGGTTTTATATATCATTGTGGCTCATCAGCTTATATATTGTTGGGGCCAGAATCTATACTTACACTTTATTCAAATTTGATTTTACAGAAGAGTTGAGGTTTTTATTTTTCTTTTAATTAAGAGGGCTGTGAAATTATTATCTATAATTCTAAATCTCATTTAATTCCTCCCAATAGGTTTCAAGATGGATTGGAACCAAAGTTCACTTCTTTAACAAAAGTGCTTTATGACTTTAATAAAACAGTAGAGAATGGTAGAATCCATGGCAGCTCTTTACAAAAACTTGTGATAGAAAGTTTTGATGATGAGCAGACTTTGCAACAACTGGAATTGCAAAATGAAGCAATTTTACCGTGCTTCCAGAATGCGGTTAGTGAAAGAAAGATGAAGATATCAGTCTTCTCCCAGAGAGTGAAGAACAGGAGCATGAAGAGGCTGGTTCAGAAACAGAGGCTGATGGCCAGGAGGACCTAGAAGATTTAGAGGAGGAGGAGGACGTGTCAGATATGGGTGGTGACAATCCTGAAATGGGTGAGAGAGCTAAAAACTCAAGCAAATTCAGGGCCAGGCGCGGTGGCTCACGCCTGTAATCCCAGCACTTTGGGAGGCCGAGGCAGGTGGATCACGAGGTCAGGAGATCGAGACCATCCTGGCTAACAAGGTGAAACCCCATCTCTACTAAACATACAAAAAATTAGCCAGGCGTGGTGGCAGGTGCCTGTAGTCCCAGCTACTCGGGAGGCTGAGGCAGGAGAATGCCATGAACCCGGGAGGTGGAGCTTGCAGTGAGCCTAGATCACGCCACTGCAGTCCAGCTGGGCGGCAGAGTGAGAGACTGCATCTCAAAAACAAAAACAACAATTACTTAACTTTAGGATGCTCCAATAATCAAAATTGATAGTGGCTTGTGAACAGATAGATTACTTGAATAGAATAGAGCCCAGAAATAAACCCAAATGCTTCTGGGGGAGTTTGGTACATTATAAACATGAGATTTTAAATCAATGAGGAAAAGAAATCATTTGCAGCTCACCCCACCATACACAGCAGGAATAGGAAGTCATTGGCAGAATAAAAAGATGGTAAGAACAGAACAGAATTGTAGAACAGTACATTTCTTGCTTCCCCACTTTTCAAAGTATTTTTTGCTTTTTCACAAATGTAAGTGTAATTTTATTTTCTAAATGTATACTAATTCTTTTCTTCTCTTTCTTAGATGAATGACAAAAATTACATCTTTAGAAAAAGAGTTGTTAGAAAAAAGCCTTGGCTGCATGTGGGGGAAGTGACAGCACAGAAGAGACCAGAGAAGAGCCTCCTGGAGGAGAGCCTGCACTTTGACCATGCTGTCCGGATGGGTGCAGTGCTCTTTTCTGCAAAGTGTTCACTTCTCTGCTTTTTCTGTGGTCCCATTTCATAGAAAGATTTGGGGTGATGTTTCTTTCCCTCAACTTTTATTTTGAAAACTTGCAAACACAGAAAAGTTGATAAAATCATACAGTGAACATCTGTATGCTATTCAACTGGATTCACTAGTTAATGTTTTGTCACACTTGTTTTCTGTCTTCTGCGTATGGAAGATTGTATATGTGCCCTTTTTCCCTCTGAATCATTTCAAAGTAAGTTGGCAGTATCAGAGCATTTCACTGTTAAGTACTTTCGCAGATATCTTCTAGGAACCAGGACTTCTCCTATGTAATCACAATACCATTAATCCACCCCCAAAATTTAACATCAATACACTAATGATACCTACTGTATAGATTATAATCAGCTTCCTTGCAGCAATCTGTTTAGAAGGCTTGCATCCTGTCACTGTCCACTGATTAAATTTTGAACTCTAACTTGAAACCCTGGTCATCTCATTGCCTTCTTTCTTATACCCATTAAGTCAAAAGGAGCTCTCATTTTATTTCAACAGAAAAGAGAATGGAAAAGAGGGGAAGAGTCCCTAGTACCTTGGATAAAGTATGAGCACTTACTACCATATGTATTCTAGTTCTGTAGTTTTCAAACTTCAGGGAGCATCTCAAGGCTTATTAAAGCACAGATAGCTGTCCTTCCCCACTTTCTGATTCAGGAGGTGTGGGGCTGGCCCAGGAATTTGCATGTCTAACAAGTTCCCACGTGTTTCTGATGCTGAGGGTCTAAGGACTACAATGCATGAATCCGTGGTTTAGTGGATATCCACCTAATGAATACATGTTGTATTTCCTTTGGCACCCGTGATTACAGAGGAAACACCTTTCAACTGGAAGGTATCATTAAACAGAGGATAAGAGATCAGGTCAGTAAGAATTAAATTTCACTTAATTGAAATGTCACTCAAATGTTTAGAAATAATATGACAGGCCAGGCACAGTGGCTCATGCCTGTAATCCCAGCACTTTGGGAGGCCAAGGCAGACGGATCACTTGAGGTCAGGAGTTCGAGACCAGCCTGTCCAAGATGGTAAAACTTCCTCTCTACTAAAAATACAAAAATTAGCTGGGCATGGTGGTGCATGCCTATAGTCCCAGGTACTCGGGAGGCTGAGGCAGGGGAATCGCTTGATCTCGGGATATGGAGGTTGCAGTGAGCTGAGATGCGCCACCGCACTCCAGCCTGGGCAACAGAGTGAGACTCCATCTCAACATAAATAAATAAATAAATAAATAAATAAATAAATAAATAAATAAATAAGATAAAAATAAAAATAAAGGGAAGATGGGGCAGCTTTGTGTATTGCATGTCCTGAAAACGGGCTGATTTCTCTCAAGAGGCAGGGATTTAAGCTCTGTAGCCTATGTGGGATACATACAGGAGAAAAAAGAAGAAAAAGAAAAGAAATGTAAATATAAATAAATGAAAATAACACTTTTCCATGATTATAAAGGAAATCACATTGTTTTTGTAATAATTTGGATGACAAAATGTAAAGAAAAATCTTTAATTTTGCCACTCAAAACATTCCGGTTTGTTGCTTTTCACACTTTTTATGCTGTAAACATTTTAAAAAGTAGAATCACAATACATGGTCTTTTGTCACTTACTATATTTTAAGCATGTTTCTATGGGAGAAATATATCCTGGCATCATCACTTTCAACAGCTGGATGTATGTTAAGTGAATCATTGCCACCCCAGAGGTGGATTTCCTTCTATATATATTTTAATGGACTCGAGTGAGGATTTTTGCACTGAATTCATAGAAGTAGAATTTCTAGAAGAAAATAATATAAAACAGTTTTAGGATTTTTAAAACAAATGTTCAAATCATCCTATAGGAAAATTGGTTGAGTTTACGCTCCCACCAACAGGGACAGAGCTCCAGGTTCCGCCTTCCATTTGTCGTCTTCGCTGGTCTTTAAGCAGAAAATCTCATTGTTTTCATTACCTTTCTTTGATTTCTAGTGCTTTTGAATCTTTTTCATTTGCTCATTGGCCATTTTTATTCTTGTGGGAAGTGCTGGTTTCTCCATTGCCCATTTTCTGCTGCAAATCATTCATTTTTTTTTTCTGAGTAATTTAAAAGATTTCTTTATAGGCTAAGGATACAAACCTTTAATCTGTCATTGAGGTTACAAAGATCTTCTCCCAGTAAGTAATTTGTCATTTCACTTTATTTATTTATTTTTTGCTAGCAAAGCACCAAAGTCAAATTTCACTTAATTTTTATCCTGCTGAATGAACACATTTTAAGTTAGTGATTTTAGTGGAAACAGGAGCAGGACAGAATGTAATAATTAGCTCTCGCTCTGTCACCCCAACTGGAGTGCAGTGGCATGATCATAGCTACTGCAGCCTCAAACTTCTGGGCTCAAGTGATTTTCCCACCTCAGCCTCCCAAGTAGCTCTAGGACTACAGGTGTGTGCCGCCAAGCCCAGCTAATTTTTAAATTTTCTTTGTAGAGATATGAATTCGCTATGCTGCCCAGGCTGGTCTTTAACTCCTGACTTACCCCACCTTAGCTTGCCAATATGCTGGGAGTACGGGCGTGAACTACTGCTCCCGGCCAAGAGCTTACTTTGGTTTGCTAGCAAGGTTCTTGGTATCTTTTTATATTTGAGGCTTTCGTGCTAGTGCTGAAGTATTACACTCACCATCTGAGGTTTACAGGACTTTTGTTTTAATATTGAACCGAGGGAACTGTTTAGTTTTGCATCTTTGCAGGTATACAAAATGTGCCTACCAGGACTCTGCTTTATATCCATTGAAAAGCAAGAAGTAATACAGTAAAAGTTTGCCTGGCTACAGGCTTTGGAAGAATGGAGTATTCTGGTTTAATTCTATTAACTTGGAAGGATGAAGGTGGAAAAAATTCAAACCTTTAATTTCCTGTTGAATGCAATTTGAAAATATAGCCAATGAGTCCACTTTTCTTCTCTAGTAAGTTTGGACATTCAGATCTACTTGGTCTTTTATCATAGAACTCCTAGTGCGCCTGAGTCTTACGTTGTGAAAATCCTTTTCTAAAACTTTAGATGTAAGAGGATAGAAATGATATTGGATGAGATCAGGCTGGATGAGAACTGATACCTGTAGATATATTTTTTAGATGAAATCTCTGATTGCCACACGTTTTCTTATTGAACTCATAAAAATAAAACACACTGGCTGGAGGGTGGAAGTAGGAAGGAGATTTATGTCTTTTAATTGCATGTCATTGTTTCATATTGAGACAGAACATATAGTATCCCTGGCTTTGGACCTACAGAAGGAAACACATTTTTCTACCTGCTGTATGGCAGAGGTTCCTGAGCACCTGGAGGGATTATTGCAGCACGGATTGCTGGGCCCTACTGCAGAGTTTCTGATTCATTCATGTCTAGGGTGGGGCCTGAGAATTTACATTTATAAGAAGTTCCCAGGTGCTCCTGGTCCGGAGACTACATGTTTGAGAGCCACCCTTACATACTAACTGTAAATTGTAGAACTCTAGAAAAAAGCGTAGTTTGGACTGGGAGAAGAAGCACACAGGTAATGGAGCAAATCATGAAAAAGTCAACCCTTGATCCCAGGTAACAAGCAATACACAGTGACATAACACAATTCTTGGTTTTCATGATTGCAAGTCATAGCCAAGTATCGAGTGAGAAATTCAGTTTCATTTTCAGGGCTTAGAGGCCAGGTGATTCTAGAAAAATCGGATTTAGTGATTAACTCATGAGAGTAGGAGTTATTTATGTCCTTTTTCTCTCCCCCATCACTTAGCATTTAGCCTTACTTTAGAAGGGTCCTGTATTTGCTTTAACCTTGTAAAGAACTTTGAGTGCTTATTAAATGGAAAGCCTTGTGTGTGTGTGTGTGTGTGTGTGTGTGTGTCTGTGCGTGTGTGTGTGTGTGTGTGTGTGTATTTAGAGACAGAGTCACATTCTGTAGCAGCCCAGGCTGAAGTGCAGTGGCATGATTTTGGCTCACTGCAACCTCTGCCTCACAGGTTCAAGGGATTCTCCTGCCTCAGCCTCCCAAGTAGCTAGGATTACAGGCACCTGCCACCATGCCCAGCTACTTTTGTATTTTTAGTAGAGACAGGATTTCATCATGTTGGCCAGGCTGGTCTTGAACTCCTGAATTCGGGTGATCCACCCGCCCCAGCCTCCCAAAGTGCTGGGATTACAGGCATGAGCCATCATGCCTGGCTCAAAGCTTTGTATTTTTAAAGATATTAGACATGTTTCTTGTTTGTTTGTTTTTTTTAAAAAAACTAAACGCTAATGTAGGAGAATAAGAGAAAGTTTTTCCAAAAAAGAGAAAACATTGTGATTATCTTATTGGAATGTTGGATAATAAAGTCTGCTTTATCAATCATCAAGCACACTATAAAATTTCCATTTTAATAGGACTTGTACCTCAATTGAGGTAATAAAGTTTTAAAGTTTTTAAAGTGAAAGCCAGCCCCGCCCCTCTCCTGGAGTGGGCGGGGACAGCGGTTGCATAGGCAGCTTTCCTTGTGACAACACAGGTCCTTGATGACACGCTGCTGTCTGGCCACACCTCCTTTTCCTTTCATCTTTCTCATTGACCAATGGGCTTCAAGCATGAAGGCCACACCCCTATTCTGCATTCTAGTGCAGCCCTGGTTACGCCTCCTCTGGCTCAGTCACACAGCGACGTAGAGGTGACTGGAGGTATATACTTGTCCTCACCTGGATCATGCTGATGTGGCCCCAACCCCACCTCCCTACCCATCCCCACCTCCCTACCCATCCCCACCTCCCTACCCATCCCCACCTCCCTACCCATCCTATGATGTCCAAAGAAACCAGACAGAGCAAATTGGCCGAGGCCAAGGAACAGGTAAACGCACCAACACCCCAACCCAACCCGAGGCCCCCTCTGACAGCCGAACTGCTGCCAGAGTCTGTGCCACTCCTGAGGGACACCAGGCTGGGCCCCCCACCCCAGTGCCTCTGGGCTCCCCACACCAAAATCTTGTCAGCCAGCCCAACCCCCTCATAAGTCCTGCCCCTGCTCTGCCCGGCACACCAGGGTGACTTTGAGCAGGTGACTCCTGGGGCTTCCAACTCCATACTCCGCCCTTACCTCCTGCTACCCCAAACCCGACCTCCCTGGGCTCCTTGAGCTCACAGCTCCAAGGACCTGGGTGCCCCAGAACCTGCCCTCACCAGTTGCCACAGGGTGACTTTGGGGATGTGACTCCTGGAGCTCCTTGCTCCTTAATTGGCCCTCACCTCCTGCCGCCCCAAGCCTGACCTCCCGGGGCTCTTTGGGGTCACGTCTCCAAGGACCTGGCTCCCAATTTTGTGACCCCCTCCCCAGTCTCAAAGCGGCAACTTGGGCATTGCACTCATGTGTCCCCCCCAACCACTCCACCGAGGAGTAGAATGTAGTGATGTCACAGTCCCGCTACAAACTGTCATTACTACCACAAGACCGGCCTTTGGTCTTAGGACCCAGTCCCCTAAGTGTTCTTGCCCACTTCTGTTTCCTCTGGTTGCAGCACAGGTTTCCAGCTGGAAGGGGAATGGGGACTGTGGGACCTAGAAGAGAGAGGTTTCAGGCTGCCTGACTTCCTTACCACAGACCTTGACAGTGTGAAAAGCCTACACCTCCCCCATGAGCTCAACACGTTGACAGTGTCTCTGGGTGGCAATGGGAGAACGGGTTTGGTTTGGTTTTCTCCCAGGCTTCTACTCTCCAGAGAGATTTTAACATTTTTTCTCAGTTCTGCACCTCAGATTTGAATTCTCCATTGTTCTGGGACCAGAGTGCCCCTCAGTCACTGGTTCTGGAGTGAGATCTGCTTATCTTCTGTGGAACAGATCTTGGGAAACTGAACTTAGCTTGAGTCTTCCTCATCTCATCTCAACCTGGGGTACTTTGAGTGCCACAGGATAAATATGGGGCATCTTTCTGAAGCATCAGTTTCCCTTGATTCTATTGAGAGACAAAACATTAATGTACTTAGGGATGAAAGTCACATAGATTTATAAGCGTATACAAGACTTCTCTCTGAAATGAGGCTTGGGTTGTCCTCTTTCTGTTAAATTCCCAGATTTAGCAGAAAGGCTGCCTTCTGCCATGAGGAGACATTGATGTAAAGGTTTGAGAGGTACTGGTGTACTTTTTAACACTAACAGACGTGTGAGGGTGAATAACCCTAAACCACATAGTGCACAGTTCCTGCCTACTTAATATTTGCTTTTCTACCTCTGCCTCTGGTTTTGGTCCCTGGCAGCTGCTGATTTAGGGCAAAATCCCAGAGCTCAGAGTCAGAAGACTGAGTTTAAGTTCCATTACTGCCTTTTTTTTCAGCCATGGTATCAATCTCTCTCAGTCACTAAGTGATTGTGACAACATTTCCTACAGTTGGTGGCATTAAATCAGATGGTCTATAAGAGTATTTAGTATAAACTGTAAAGCAGGATGTGACTGTAGGAGCTTGTAGTTCTCATGAGTATCACTGCTCTTCCTTTCCACAGTTGACAGACCATCATCCCCAGACCAACCCTAGTGTTGGTACAGCAGCAAGCGACACCAAAAAGAAGAAAATAAATAATGGCACTAACCCTGAGACAACCACTTCTGGTGGTTGCCACTCGCCTGAGGATGTGAGTCTTGGCTGGCCGGGCTCCTGGGGACAGAGGGCCCAAGGGGTGGTGGAGGGTAATTGTTAAGATTGTGGAAGAACTGCCAGGTACTGGCTAAGAATTCTGGGTTTGAATCCTACCCCTCCATCTGCTAGGGATATGATTTAGCGCAAATTGCTTGAGCTCTTTGGGCCTCTCTTTTCACATCCGTAAAATACGAGTGGTATTGTTTTCCTTACATTTGTGAAGTTTAAATGAGATTTGTCATTGTGTTTTTATGTTAATCCCTCGTCCAGGACCTGCTGTAAACTCTCCTTCTTGGGCTTGCGTTTCCTGAGGTAGAGTTAGAGAGTATCAGAGGTTTCTGTTAGCTCTGAGAGCCCGAGAGTTAAAGGCCCACTAGAATGGAAACCTCGGGGCCAAGGGCTCCTGTCTGCCTTTTCTGACCTCTATTCCCGCTGTGAAGAACCGTCCCTGGCCCGTATGTGCTCAACGTTTGCTGAGTGAATGCACCTTTCTAAATCACAAGCTGGCGGAAGGGTGGGCTTTTCTCGCACTCCACCTCTGAAGGTTTCTGTTACTGTCTTTTCAAGAGAATCTAGTTTCAGACTTTGAGTTCTGTGGCTGTGGGCAAAAACCAAAAAGACCCAAATCCCTCTTCTTTGGGAGTTGAGGAGAGTTGACCAGTTCATGTTCCCATTGGGTCTGAGAACTGTGCCTTTTAAATCCATTCCTGGCCCCTGCCTATCGCTTCCTGGCCTGGGGAATAGAGTCAAGGGGGCCACCCTCAGTCACCTTCCTTTGACTCTCCCCACAGAAACAATAGAACC
This sequence comes from Homo sapiens, assembly GCF_000001405.40. Taxonomy (NCBI): domain Eukaryota; kingdom Metazoa; phylum Chordata; class Mammalia; order Primates; family Hominidae; genus Homo; species Homo sapiens. The sequence goes on from NW_003315943.1 coordinate 255,931, forward strand.
GAGCTCAGCTGGAAGAAGTCGTGTGATTTCTTTGCTCACGACATGACCGCTGGGTTTGGGGGCACTCAGATGTAGAGGCCCCAGGCTCATCTCACCCACTCCCAGCCTGGGGAAGAGGGCTCACCCCCAAGATTCCACCCCATCCCCACAGGGTCCCTGATAAACTGGTCCCATGGGTGGGCCTGTTCTGGGGCAGTGGTGCCATTCTGGGGGCATGTCTCTTGCTGTGGATCTCTGCCTCCCCCTAGTAAGAGCTCTGTTTTCCTCTTTCTATAGGAACAGAAGGCAAGCCACCAACATCAGGAAGCCCTAAGGAGGGAGCTAGAGGTGAGTGGAGGGTGTGAAGTTCCCTCCTGCCCTCTGGAGAATGTTTCTTTGCTTCTCTTTCAGCATTTGCTTGTCTTTTCTCCCAAAGGCCCAGGTTCATACCATACGAATCCTTACATGTCAGAAAACTGAGCTTCAGATGGCACTCTACTACAGCCAGCATGCTGTCAAGCAGTTGGAAGGTGGGAATCTGGCACCCCATCATCCTTCAACCTGGCACTTTGACAGGCCTTTAGGGGGAGTCCTTTGGGCCACATCTGAATGTCTCTCATTCCAGGAGAGGCCAGGGATCTGATCAGCCGCCTGCATGATTCATGGAAGTTTGCAGGAGAGTTAGAGCAGGCTCTCTCTGCTGTCGCTACACAGAAGAAGAAGGCGGATAGGGTGAGTCCAAACACGGCCCCGTCCCTTGGGAGCCCAGCTTCGCAGATGGAGGAGTGAGCCTAAAGGTCCCTTCTGTAGGATGGAGTGTCCTGCCCAGAAGGCAGCATGGCCATTTCTTGCTGCTTTTGTGTGTGGTTGTTAGAGGCAGACTGGGGCTGAGTCGGCTGTTGTGGGTGAGTTGGGGAGCACTGTGAGGAGCGAGCACTGGACATAGATCTCAGAGGCCAAGTGCCCGCCCTGCCCATACTTGGCTGTGGCCTTGGCCAAGTCCTAAGTGGCGGTTAGGGTACTTGTACCATAAAGGTACAGAAGAGTATCTTGAGTATGTTATTATTTGTGTGGAGAGAGGGGGCAGGTGTATATGTGTGTGTGTGTACGTATTATGGTAACATACATAAAACACGTTTGTAAGGATTCATTAAAAAACTCAGGATAGAGGCACAGTGTTGGGGGGAGATATTTCCCTTCTGGACTTTCTGAGTTTTGGACTATGCGAACGTATCATCCTTTCAAAAATTCAACAAAGGATTAATTTCCTCCTTCTTAACTGTGCCCCTACCTCCAGCGGAAGAATGGGCTTAGAGAATCAGATATACCTGGGTGTTGAAATCCCAGCTCCAAGTGATCTTAGGCAGCACTTAACCTTTAATACTGCATGTTTTTCATCTACACAATAGAGGTAATAATGGTAACCGTCTCCTATGGAGGTTGTGAGGATTAAATGGGATTGTTAGCATAGTGCCTGGTGAAGCACCCAATAAAGGCTCCAACAGTGGTAGTAATAACAGTAATAACAATAACAATATTATCTGATCGCTCTGGGCCCCTGTTAGCCAGCCCTAAATTCAATCTCTTTCCCTGTCCCTTCCACATCCACTGAGTTCTTTGAAAAACAAATGAGGGCCAGGTGCTCTCGCTCACGCCTGTAATGCCAGCACTTTGGGAGGCTGAGGTGGGCGGATCACCTGCGGTCAGGAGTTCAAGACTAGACTGACCAACACGAAGAAACCCCGTCTCTACTAAAAATACAAAATTAGCCCGGTGTGGTGGCACATGCCTGTAATCCCAACTACTCGGGAAGCTGAGGCAGGAGAATTGCTTGAACCCAGGAGGTGTAGGTTGTGGTGAGCTGAGATTGTGCCATTGCACTCCAGTGAGGGCAACAAGAATGAAACTCTGCCAAAAAAAAAAAAAGAAAGAAAGAAAGAAAAACAAATGAGACCATGGGCTTGGAAATGCCTTGAGAACACGTCAGGTGTGATTGAGAGTGAGGAAGTGTTACTGTGGAGTAGTCACTGTAGCAGTTGTTCCTGGTCGTCCAGCTACTGCTGTGCCTGCTCTATCCTGACTTAACCTTTCTCTATTTGCAGTACATTGAGGAGTTAACAAAGGAGAGGGACGCCCTGAGTCTGGAACTGTACAGGAACACGTAGGATGGGGGAAGGTGGAATGGGAGGTCTGGGGGCCCTTAGCATGGGTGGTGTGCTGGGAGGTGGGGGGTCCAGGTGAGTGTGGGGAGAGGCTCATACATGTTTTCATGTGTGCACACGGAAACTCTAGTGCTGGCTGTGCCACTGACTCATGGGGTAGCCTCAGGCAACTCATGTCTTCTCTCTGGCCTGCCACCTGGGACTTTTAATTCCTGGGGTCCCTTCCAGCGCCACGGTTCTGTGGTTGTGGGGCGAGGGTAGGGGGTCAATCACCAAAGTGGTCTTTTATGTTCTTCATTCATTCCTTTCTCTACTGCCTCTGGCCATAGCATAACTGATGAGGAGCTGAAGGAGAAAAATGCCAAACTACAAGAAAAACTTCAACTTGTAGAATCTGAAAAGTCTGAGATCCAGCTCAACGTAAAGGAGCTAAAAAGGAAACTGGAGAGGGCCAAGCTCCTGCTGCCACAGGTGAGCAGCTGCAGCCCCGGGGGTTGTGGGAGACCCATCCAGCTGGGACCATGGTCTAGGGATCATGCAGGGTATGGGGAGGCTCCAGCCAAGAGCTGGAAAATTTGGGTCCTTGTTCTGGCCCCGCCATAGAATCCTCTAGAGTGTACTAAAAATGTACAAATTGGGGCCCTGCCTGGGGAATCAGAATCTCAAGAGTTAGGGCTTAAAAATATTTTTTTAAAGGATCATGGATGAAAACCATTATTTTATAGATTACATTTATTTATTTATTTATTTATTTATTTATTTATTTATTTGAGAAGTAGTCTCACTCTGTCACCCAGGCCAGAGTGCAGTGGCGCAATCTCGGCTCACTGCAAGCTCCACCCCCCGGCTTCACGCCATTCTCCTGCCTCAGCCTCCCAAGTAGCTGGGACTACAGGTGCCCACCACCACACCCAGCTAATTTTTTGTATTTTTAGTAGAGACGGGGTTTCACTGTGTTAACCAGGATGGTCTCGATCTCCTGACCTCGTGATCCGCCCACCTCGGCCTCCCAAAGTGCTGGGATTACAGGCGTGAGCCACCGCGCCCAGCCTATAGATTACATTTATGTGGCTAGCTCATGATTCTGCTTCCTTCTGAGGTTCAAAAAAACACTTTCACTATTCCAGCAGCAGCTGCAGGCGGAGGCTGACCACCTGGGTAAGGAGCTGCAGAGTGTGTCAGCAAAGCTCCAAGCCCAGGTGGAAGAGAACGAGTTGTGGAACCGCCTGAACCAGCAACAGGAGGAGAAGATGTGGAGGCAGGAGGAGAAGATACAGGAGCGGGAGGAGAAGATACAGGAGCAGGAGGAGAAGATACGGGAGCAGGAGGAGAAGATGCGGAGGCAGGAGGAGATGATGTGGGAGAAGGAGGAGAAGATGCGGAGGCAGGAGGAGATGATGTGGGAGAAGGAGGAGAAGATACGGGAGCTGGAAGAGAAGATGCACGAGCAGGAGAAGATACGGGAGCAGGAAGAGAAGAGGCAGGAGGAGGAGAAGATACGCGAGCAGGAGAAGAGGCAGGAGCAGGAGGCGAAGATGTGGAGGCAGGAGGAGAAGATACGGGAGCAGGAAGAGAAGATACGGGAGCAGGAGAAAAAGATGTGGAGGCAGGAGGAGAAGATTCACGAGCAGGAGAAGATACGGGAGGAGGAGAAGAGGCAGGAGCAGGAGGAGATGTGGAGGCAGGAGGAGAAGATAAGGGAGCAGGAGGAGATATGGAGGCAAAAGGAGAAGATGCACGAGCAGGAGGAGAAGATACGGAAGCAGGAGGAGAAGGTGTGGAGGCAGGAGGAGAAGATGCACGACCAGGAGGAGAAGATACGGGAGCAGGAGGAGAAGGTGTGGAGGCAGGAGGAGAAGATACGGGAGCAGGAGGAGAAGATGTGGAGGCAGGAGGAGAAGATACGGGAGCAGGAGGAGATGTGGAGGGAGGAAGAGAAGATGCATGAGCAGGAGAAGATATGGGAGGAGGAGAAGAGGCAGGAGCAGGAGGATAAGATGTGGAGGCAGGAGGAGAAGATACGGGAGCAGGAGGAGAAGGTGTGGAGGCAGGAGGAGAAGATACGGGAGCAGGAGGAAAAGAGGCAGGAGCAGGAGGAGAAGATGTGGAAGCAGGAGGAGAAGATAAGGGAGCAGGAGGAGAAGATACGGGAGCAGGAGAAGATACGGGAGCAGGAGGAGAAGATACGAGAGCAGGAGGAGATGATGCAGGAACAGGAAGAGAAGATGGGGGAGCAGGAAGAGAAGATGCAAGAACAGGAGAAGATGCGGAGGCAGGAGGAGAAGATAAGGGAGCAGGAGGAGAAGATACGGGAGCAGAAGGAGAAGATACGGGAGCAGGAGGAGAAGATATGGGAGCAGGAGGAGAAGATACGAGAGCAGGAGGAGATGATGCAGGAACAGGAAGAGAAGATGGGGGAGCAGGAGGAGAAGATGTGGGAGCAGGAAGAGGAGATGCAAGAACAGGAGGAGAAGATGCGGAGGCAGGAGGAGAAGATAAGGGAGCAGGAGAAGAAGATACGGGAGCAGGAGGAGAAGATACGAGAGCAGGAGGAGATGATGCAGGAACAGGAAGAGAAGATGGGGGAGCAGGAGGGGAAGATGTGTGAGCAGGAAGCGAAGATGCAAGAACAGGAGGAGAAGATGCGGAGGCAGGAGGAGAAGATAAGGGAGCAGGAGAAGAAGATACGGGAGCAGGAGGAGAAGATACGAGAGCAGGAGGAGATGATGCAGGAACAGGAAGAGAAGATGTGGGAGCAGGAGGAGAAGATGTGTGAGCAGGAAGAGAAGATGCAAGAACAGGAGGAGAAGATGCGGAGGCAGGAGGAGAAGATGCGGGAGCAGGAAGTGAGGCTGCGGCAGCAGGAGGAGAAGATGCAGGAACACTAGGTGAGGCTGCAGGAGCTGGAGGAGAGGCTGGGGAAGCTGGGGCAGAAGGCCGAGCTCTTGGGGGGAGCAGGCGGAGGTGTGTGCAAACCCTGGAGATCATACAGAACGACCTCACCACAACTTAGCAGATGGTGGTTGGCTCCCTCTGCTTTTCCACCAGTCTGTGGCCTACAGTTTAAATGGTGGGAAGAAGGGTGTGAGATTTGAGGCTGGGGAGGGAGGCATGGGCCTCTAGGCAAGGGAGGCAGTCATTTAGGCCTGGAGGAAGGGGCCAGGGCCAGGGGCCTGGGTAGGCGACAGAGCCCCGCAGTGCCCTCACTACCCTGTTTATGGGCCCAGAATCTGGAAGCCAGCCACTACCTACCCTGACGCCTATCCTGCAGGTGGAGCTGAAGAGCCAAGAGGCTGAGTCTGCAGCAGCAGCGAGACCATTACCTGGGTCACCTGCAGCAGTACGTGGCCGCCTATCAGCAGCTGGCCTCTGAGAAGGAGGCACTGCCCAGCTGCAGCAGCAGGAAGCTCAGGGCGAAGCGGTGGCCGAGATGGCCCACCGATAGTTGCAGGAGACCCGGTTGAGGGAGTTGATGAGGGCGGGGCCCCAAGGGGGATGATCTGGCAACCTCCGTGCCTTCTCACTCTCTTTCCTGGCCCCTTAGGAGCACCTGGAAGCTGCCATCTAATGAGCACATGACAAGAAGGCAAAGACAATAAACATGTAAAAGCCGGCAGCAAGGCCTGGAGAAGAGTAAGCCGCCATGTGACTGTTTAGAATATAGTCTGAGCACAAACCTGAAAAAAAAATTTTATTTATTTTAAATTGTGGCAAAATACTGGCCAGGCATGGTAGCTCACGCCTGTAATCCTAGCAATTTGGGAGGCCGAGGTAAATGGATGACCTGAGGTCAAGAGTTCAAGACCAGCCTGGCCAATACAAAAATTAGCCGGGCATGGTGGCGCATGCCTGTAATCCCAGCTACTTGGGAGGCTGAGGCAGGAGAATCGCTTGAACCTGGGAGGCAGAGGTTGCAGTGAGCTGAGATCGTGCCACTGCACTCAAGCCTGGGTGACAGAGCGAAACTCCGTCTCAAAAAAAAAAGTTTCTTCCTTACATGTATGTTTCTATTAGTTTTCTTCTTGGTCTTTCTCATTTAGTCTTGTGTTGTCTTTTGGCATTCATAGTAAACTTTTATCTGCCTCCAGAGAGTATTGACTTTGAGTTTATGGCACACAATTGGAGTAAGGGCAGATCGCCTTCATCTACTTCGGGACTAAGCTGGTTCAAAGCAGGTTTTAGGTTTTCTGATGGCTGGTCTATGTTTTATTCATTTGGACTCCCAGGGGTGGCCCTTCCAGGGTCCCCACCAAGGTCCCATCTCCCTCCTGGGACCCAAATTCTCATTAGGTCATTTCAGCCCTGTGAGAGTGCCAAACATTCAGCTAGGCTCTCCAGCCTCTTAACTACCACTTCATACTCAGTTTCTTAGCCTCTTAGCCCTCTACTGTTGACCAATCACCAAATGTGGGAAAGCACTACAGACTGTCAGGATCACCTCCTAGGCCTGGTCACTCAAGTCCTGACTGAGGTCTCCAATTACCTTCCAACAATTGTTTTTGATTGGGGGCGGGGCACATTTTTATCCAGTTTTTCTAACTGCTCTTGCGGGGAGGCGAATCTGTAACAAGCTCCTCTGCCTTTATTGAAAGTTGAAAACCTTCATCTGTCCTTTTTTTGTTGTTGTTGAGATGGAGTCTTGCGCTGTTGCCCAGGCTCTAGTGCAATGGCACGATCTCTGCTCACTGTAACCTCTGCCTCCTGGGTTCAAGCAATTCTCCTGCCTCAGCTTCCCGAGTAGCGTGTGCCACCATGCCTGGCTAATTTTTTTTTATACCTTTAATAGAGGCAGGATTTCACCATGTTTTCCAGGCTGGTCTCGAGCTCCTGACTCAGGTGATCTACCTGCCTCAGCCTCCCAAAGTGCTGGGATTACAAGTATGAGCCACTGCATCCGGCCCATCTGTCTTTTAAAACATGTTTTTAATTGGAGGTATAATTTCTATTAGTGAAATGCACAGGTCTGGTTTACATTTTGATGAGTTTTAACTCATTTAACATTACTATGGAACCCACCTCCTTTGAAGATACAGAGTATTTCTATCATCCAGAAAGTTCTCCTGTGCTTTCATGCTGTCCCGCACTCCCCCAGCAGCTGATGAACATGCTGAGGACATTGGTACTGGATTCTGGCCGCCCCAAAAGAGCCGCTTTGACCAGGCTTACCCAGCACTAAATCCCTGCCTGCTCTCTCAAAATTTCCATCTTTAAACTGGTTGTACCTATAACCCTCCCTCATCAAGTCAATAGATAAACAAACCCTGAAAAATAAACAACTCTTCCTGGCCCAGCAGCCCACAGCCTAATATTTACTGTATTCCCAGGCTTTCAGAAATGTAACTCGCCTGCCGGTTCACCCTCACTAGGGCGGCAGCTGCACGGGAGCAGCTGGGCTCACCCATTAAGCAAGAAGCCAATAGCTGGACAGTGACACTCAGACCCCAGGCTGGGCGAGCCTGGCTGAAAGCCCCCTTCTTTCCATCCGACTGTGGAGAAAGGGGGCGGAGCACACACAACTCTACTGCCCTCCACATCCTTCACCCGTGCTTCCTCCTGGGAGAGGGAGCCGCTCATTAATTTGGCCAAAGCCTTCTTGAGGGCTGTAGGTTTCACAGGCTGGGTGTGTGGGGGCCACCGTGCTAGAGACAGAGGCTGGTGTGTCAGAAGGTAGCCACCTGGCCAGAGGGGGGTCAACCCCCTTGGTGACCTCCTTCCCCCGGCTGGACACAGTGCCCTGCACTCTCTACATGTGACTGTTCCCCTCAGAGCTGCTTCCAGGGGAGGGGTTCTAATCCTGTGGGTGGGGACATTGTGTTACTTTACAGTGGGCCATGGCTCCCTCTGACATCTCCAACTCAGAGGCAGTAGAGAGAAGATGAGAAATTCCCTGCCCCTCCTCCCTCAGCACCCCCACCTCTGCACATGTCCACATGTGGAGACCCTGACAATGGGCCCTGGGAGTGCCGCCATCTGTGCCTGCTTTCCATGCCTGCAGCAGCCATGCCCACTCTCCAGACCCTCACCCGCCTGGGTCAGTAGACGCTTCACTGCCTGTGGTCCTGCGCCTACACCTGGGCCTCTGTACCCGTCAGTTCCCCCAGTCTGGTTCTTATTCCCTGCAAAGAGTAGGGAGCCTATAAGGTCACCTGTTGAGCAAGCTGGGGGAGAGAGTAGGGTGGGGCTGGGAGGATGAGGAGGAGAAGCTCATGGTCGTGCTGGAGACTCAGCTGAGCAGAGTCTATGCAGGCCCATTGGCTGCCTAGCCAGTGGTGATCTCGCTCCCACCCTCATTTCTTCTTTGTTAACAAAACCATGACCTCATTAAATACTGGACACCTATAAACCTCATGGACCCTCCTCCAGCCTCCCCACCGTGTACCGGTGAGTCTAAGTCAACTCTAGTCATTTCATTCCTCTGGACATTGACTGCTTAGGGCTTGGGCATGAGCTTCCTCTTCACCTGAGCCTGAGCCACAGGTACCCTCTGCACCTACCACGCTGATGCACTGGGCCAGGGAGAGCGCCGTCTGGATGGAGATGAGCTGTGAGGAGCTGGTGGCTGGGCGGATCAGGTTGTTGTAACAGGTTTTGTTCAGAAGGTCGTCCATCAGTTTCTGCTCGGCATGGGCCATGCGGCAGTCCCCTGGGTAAACACACAGACATGCTGGGCCCTTGTGCAGCTGTCTCCCACTGCAGCTGACAGCTATGAAGCAGGAGCTGAGAGGGCCAGGGAGCACAGACACCCTGAGAGCTGGCTGAAGCACTGAAGGTGCTGGCCGGCCTGGCTCTCCCTGGGGACTTCAAATGACATTCACGACAGAGCTCAGCTACCTCCTCCCCATGCCATACCTCTTCCTCCTCCTCCTCCCTCCGTCAATGAACAGCATCCCACGCTCTACACATCTGATACAAAACTGGGTGTCTCTTCCTGACTCCTCCCTTGGTTCACCCAAGTGGCCACCAAGTCCTGTCTGTCCTCCCATCTCCACGGCTACAGCCATGTCCCTGCCTCCCCCGCCCTGCCCACCTTCTATTCTCTCCACCCACACTCTGCCCGTGCCATCCATGTGCCATACAGTGGCAGACTGGTCTTTCTACAGCAAACTGGACTTGGGCCCTTCCCTACCCACAGCTCTCAGAGCTGGAGGTGGAGTTGAAGCTCATGTTTTGGCTTGGCATTCAGAGCTCTTTCCCCCTCAGCACTGGCTTATCCAGAGTGCTCACAGTGCAGGGCAGGAGCCTCGTGACTCAAATGTGGGTTTGGTGCAGAACTGGGTCTGAGGTGGTGCTTTCCCTGTGAAGAGACAGGGCCGACATGGGGGAATTTTCTGGGTTCAAAGTTAGACCTACAGAGTGCAAAGTTTCTCTGAGGCACCAAATGGAGGGGTCCAGCTAGCAGCTGGCTCCTGGTCTGGAGCTTCAAGGAGAGGTCTCAGCTCAGAGCCACATTCAATAGCCAGCTTACATGTGGCCTCCTGCAGGGAGCCCCTGGAGCTTCCACAGCCTCCGTTCTGCCCCTCTGCATACCCCAGATCTCCTGCTAAGTGGCGTTTGGGTCTTCATGTCATCTCCCTCCCATGTCTGGGAGTAAAGGTGAGGTGCAGGGACTTGCGCTTGTGTACTCTGGTGTCTTAAGGGAGAGTGTGTCAAGTAGAGTGGAGGCGGCTTGGAAAGAGGGAGACTCAGAGGAGAGTGAAGGACACATGACCAGGCGAGCCTGGGAGCAGGAAAAGAGAGTGAGCAGAGGCAACTGCTGGGTCAGGGGAGCGGATGGGAGGATCAGGGAATGCGGGGGGGCTGGAGAGGTAGGGGTGGGGATGTTGGCGAGGGGCTGCCTGGCTCGCCAGGCTCAGGAGTCAGTTACATCCTCCCACAAGGGCCAGCTCACCTGGTCGCCCCAAAGACCTCCCTCTGTGGGTGGGACCAGAGGGCCAAGAGCACGGATAACCCAATTGAGCAGGACTGAGGCGGACTCAGGTGGGTGCTGGGCCGGACTCCTGGCTGTGGGGAGCAGCCGCCACCCTGCCTATTGCATCCACTTTCCAACTCGCTGCCTATCTGAGCAGATGCGATATTGGGCACCTTGTGAAACATGCTCCTGGTGCACCTGCTGCCTGCTGCCCCTCCTGCAGAGTGCCCGGGCTCTCCAGAGGGGATTCCTATGGAGGCTTGGCCTAGATTCTGAGTCCTGCCTCTCATACCTGGGGCTGCTACCCCAGAGGCCAGCTGCTTGAGTACCCCGGAAGCCAGTCTGTAGCCCCAGGCTACAGCTGGGTCCATCCCACAGCCCTTCTCTAATGTACCTATTTGGACTGGCTGCTCATTTCATAGAGAGGGGTGTGTCTTGCCCCAGACCATCTGGCATGTCTAAGGCAGCTGTGGGGTCAGAATCTGCAGCTCCCAGCCCTCAGCCCAGCAATAGTAGGAAAGGCTGGACCCCACATCTCTGAAGTCCCACTGGGTGGGTGTGAGCGGGCTCCCGAGTACAGGGCTGCTCTGCAGGCTGTGGGGCTCATGCGCCAGCTCTGAGCCCACCTGATGTGCTCACGTTGCTCACCTTTGGGCCTGTCCTGCCTCTCAGGCATTCGGCTGACCCTGAGGGCCTCTCCCTCATCTTGACCACCAGCTACGGGCTCTGATTTAGAGGTTCCCAGAACCTTAGACCATTTGGCCGGCCCCCCATTTCTCACCTGAGGAAACTGAGACCAGAGAGGGATAGCAACTTTCTCAAGGACCCCCAGCAATTCAGAGGCAGAACCAGGTCTAGGAGCCTCTTCTCGATAGAGGTTCCCCCTGTCCCCTGAGCCTTCGTTAGTGCCTCATTAACTTCCCTGTAAGGAAACTGCCCCGCTGAGGCTGGAAATGGTGCTGTCCAGAGTGGTGTGTGCCAGTGACTGTGCTTGTGTTTGTACTTGTGAGTGTGTATGGGGGTGGGGATGAGGGGTGGGAATAAACGGCAGGGATGCTGGGGGCTGGATGCACTCCACCTCACCCCAAAAAGGGGCACAGCAGAGCCCAGCCAAGCACAGCACATGCTTCGACTTTCCAATCTGCTGAATGCCTGTGAGGCCGGCTGGGCCCAGAAGACAAGGGACAGGCCTTTCCCCATAGATGGCAGGGGGGACCCAGGATGGGTGGAAGCTTCTGCCGCAGCTTTGGGGGTCACAACCCAGCCCATGGGCTGACACTTAAGCAGAAAAGCCACCTCTAGGGGTCAGTCATAATCTAGTGATTCTGATGAGGAGGGCCCCACCAACCTCTGTCCAGGGTCTTGTCTGGGAAAAACTGCTCCCTGGCAGAAAGAGGCTAATAATTTGAGAGGAAGCCATAGCTGAAACCCTAAGCTGTGTGAGTGTGTGTCCAGTTTGAGAAAGCATATCCGACTTAAACATTTGTATTGAAAAAATGGAAACATATTCCCCTTGTTTTGGAATACAAACTGCAGAAAGCAGCAGTTAACAGAATCTTATCGGAAAGGTCAGACTCTGCATCTGGAAAGGCACAGTGATTTTCAACTGCAGTGTGTGTCCTTAACTGAGGAAGGGAAGGTGAGATTTATGTTTAGTAAAAGGCAGCTATGAATTTACCTTTTATAAAGAGCTTGCTATATACTATTAGTGCTTTTCAGTCATGTCAGAATCAGCCAGATGCCTGTGGAAATGCAAATTCCCAGGCTTCATTCCCAGAGATTCTGGTCCTGTGAGCCTAGGGTGGGGCCCAGAAATCTCTATGGGGTGGTGCAGCCTGCCCCAGGACCACACCAAGAAACACTGCAACTGGCCCACACACATCCCAGTCCACAAATATGTAGGCAGGCATCTTATCTCCACAGAACAGATAGGGAAACTGAGGTCAGAGTGGGGAAAGAAACGTCATGGGGCCACCCAGCAAGTAGTAGCAGAGCCACGATACACCCACTGCCTGCAGACACCATCTCTGATGACAGCTCCACCTCCCCACAGGAATCTTGCCTACCCCCACCCCTACCTCCTGCTGCCCCTATGGTGGGTCTCTGTCCAAGGAAGATGTATCCTAGGTCCTCTAGGCTGACTGCGGCTCAGAGGAAACCTTGGCCCAGAGTGTAGGAGCTAGAGGGGTCCTTGGAATTCACGTGGGGAATTTGAGGCCCAAAGAAGGCAGCCCTCACATTTGAACTCTGTCTGGAGAAGGGCTAGGTCTTCTTCCTGAGTGGTAGTTTTGACTTCACCAGCCTGGCCCTCAGTCAAGCTGGCTGTCCAGGCCCGCCACACCTCGGGGTGGGTGACCAGAGGCGGTGGTGCCATAAAAACACGTTTCCTGGGAGATCCACCCCCAAAGCTCCAAACATTCCAGGGCTGGTGATTTGGGGAAGCCCCCTTCCCTCTCAGCCCAGTTTCCCCATCTCTGCAACAGCCGTGCTGGTGGAGACTTCTGATACTGAGCTGCAGATTTTCTCCTGGGTGCCTACACAGCCCAGGTTGCCGGCTCCTCTGTGCCCACTCTTCAAGAAAGTCAGCTCTTAGGTAAGGAAGGTGCCTTGGCCCTATCAGGAGCAGGAGCCGGTGCACCCCCAGCTTCCCAGACCAGTGGGGATGACCCAGGCTGCCTACAAAGCTGCTGCCCAGCCCGGAGACACCCGCCTGGGAGGGTGGCCCTGGCCCTTGCAGCGGCTCTGAGAAGAGTCGGCCCCCACTCCAAAACTGGCAGAGCCACCCATGCCTTCCCTCAGCCCAAAGAGGCTTTTAGGAAAATGAATCGTCTCAAGTTCAAACCCATGGGGTTGCTGAAAGACAAGACAGTGCAGGGTGAGCTGGTGCGAGGGAGCGCTGCTCGGTGCAGACTTTGCAGGGAGGGCACTTAGGAAAAAGGACTGGAGTCTGGGAGGGTTAACTAGCTTAGGGTTAAAGGGAGGGGATGGAGCTGGAGTGAGCTGGCCTCGTCCTCCCCCTTGGGCCTTCCAGCCTGAGCTCAGGTGATTCAAGGGAGCAAGCACCTCCCTCTCCCAGCCAGGGAGTTCTCGCCACATTCTGCAATCAGTACCATTCCCCTGGGGGCTGGGTGACAGCCCCCACCTCTGGACCTGGCTGGAACTGCTGTCTCAATTCTAGATCCAAAAGAATCTCTGGCAGCTTCTCCATCTCCCTCTCAGTCCAGCCTCACCTCTTCGCCCGTGGAGGAGCTCCAACAGCAAATCTGGCAACTGGAGGAACAAGGCAGGAAGGGCAGGGTCTGAGGAAGGAACCACCTTCAAAAGGCAGCTCTGCCACCTTCTCTCCAGGACTCTCAGGCTTGCTTTCCTATTGCTCCCTCGACATCCTTTTGCTATAATCTGCCATGTTGACGTATAGTCTTTAAAAGCAACAATGCTGTTGACGTGGAGCAGACTTCCCATTTGGGATGGTTTGGAGAAGTTAGGTTTGAGGGCATCCTCTCTTCTGCAAACTGCAGCAGTAATAGATGAGATATACAAAGTAAATAAAGGCTGGGTGCGGTGGTCGTGCCTGTAATCCCAGCACTCTGGGAGGCTGAGGCAGGAGGATCACTTGAAGCCAGGAGTTCGAGACCAGCCTGGCCAATATGGCGACACCCTGTCTCTACTAAAAATGTAAAAATTAGCTGGGCATAGTGGTGCACACCTGTAGTCCCAGCTACTCAGGAGGCTGAGGCAGGAGAATCACTTGAACCCGGGAGGCAGAGGCTGCAGTGAAATGAGATCCCGCCACTGCATTCCAGCCTGGGCGACAGAGTGAGACTCCATCTCAAAAAATAAAAATAAAAAATAAAGTAAATAAAAAAGACATGCCCAGGCTGAAAAATAAGTTAATTATCTCCATGAACGAAAAGCAGACAAGAAATGCAAAGTGGTTGGAGGCTGAAGAGCCTGGACCCTCCTGGGCTTTGGGAACCAAAGATGGTGGCAAGTCCTTTGGGATAAAGAGGGACAAAATGACTCCTAGCTAGAAGCTGGGAGCTTGGGTGTACCCCAGTACTTGAAAGGATGCTAGCTGGGCGCGGTGGCTAATGCCTGTAATACCAGCACTTTGGGAGGCCGAGGGAAAGTAACTCTTATGTCAGTGTGAAGCAAATCAGACAGGACAGGGGAACATGGAGGGGAGGAGAGCCAAACCAGGGCCTGGTTCCAGACCCACCACACCTGCCCCGTTGAGCCAGGAGCACAGGTGGCTCTCTGCACAACATCAAGAGCGAGGACATGCTTTCAGCTCCACTTTAACTCAGGTTCCTAATGTGACAGCAGGCTTGTCAATCCCACTTGCCCCCGTGTCTCACACCAGAAAACTACCAGCAGCATGAGTAAGGACAGAAGCAGGAGACAGAGGAGCCAGGGTTGGGGAATCCCATAGCAACCCACAGGCCCTCATCACACACGGCAAGGATGCGCCTTCACTGGGCTCACCACCACCAGACATCACCTTCACTACATGATACCCTGCCTGGATAACACCACTGTAACACAAGAAACAGGTCTAGAATCTAGCATGTATGCTACACCTGAAGGAGCAAGAGACGGTAATACAATACAATGAAATTTTTAGTTTATTTAATATAAAATTTAGAGCCATAATCAAAATGTGTAATTCTGATGGGATTCACTACTTATAAAAACTTTGCAGCGCTCTATTTTCAAATGTAAATGGTATTCTGTGGCTCCTCGCCAGCAAGTAAATAACGATCTACTCTGAAATACGTTTCACGGCTTATTTTTGGCAAGCAGCGATTTCTCCAACTCACGTTTTCCAAGGGAAAAAAGGACGTGAAATGTCTCCAAAAGTCTCTTACGATCTTTAGATAAACTACTGTTCAACAACTGCATCTGCCAAGTCAACACATCAAGAATCCTTCACTCACAAACACTTAAGGTGAGAAAACAGTGTCTACCCATGCGGGAGAGGGACACATGATCCATGCTTATGAAGACAGCCTGGATATCGGCTACTGGAAAGCTGCGAATGCATTTTTCTTTTTCTACTTTCCAAAATTTTTGTGAGGTGATACTTATTTCTATGTTTGTGTCTATTCTTTCTATTTTGTATTTTTTAGTAGGTACATCCTTACTATAAATCTGCTGTAGAACCAATGTCCCATACAGGACCCCACGTGCCACAGGAACCAAAAAGTCACACGCAGCGAAGACGAAGACACAGGAGACAACCTGTGTGGACAGCACAGAGCCACCTGCCCAGGACACCAATGGAGCCACAGGTGCAATTCAGAATGTTCTTAGTCGTATTAATAAACATGGCCAGGTGCGGTGGCTCACGCCGGTAATCCCAACACTTTGGGAGGCTGAGGTGGGCAGATTACCTGAGTTTGGGAGTTCAAGACCGTCCTGGCCAACATGGTGAAACCCCATCTCTACTAAAAATACAAAAATCAGCCAGGTATGGTGGCATGCTTCTGTTAGTCCCAGCCACTCAGGAGGTTGAGGCAGGAGAATCATTTGAACCCAGGAGGCAGAGGCTGCAGTGAGCTGAGATCGTGCTACTGCACTCCAGTCCAGGCAACAGAGTGAGGATCCATCTCCGGGTGGGGAAAAAAAATTGTTCTTAGTCACATTAACAAAAGTAAAAAAAAAAAACAAAAAACACCAACAAGAAAAACAACAACACATAAAATTAATTGTAATAATGGCTGGTTGCAGTGGCTCATGCCTGTAATCCCAGCACTCTGGGAAGCCAAAGCGGGCAGATTACTTGAGGTCAGGAGTTCGAGACCAGCCTGGCCAACATGGTGAAACTCTGTCTCTACAAAAATACAAAAATCAGCCAGGCGTGGTGGTAGTCCCAGCTGCTCGGGAGTCTGTAGTCCTGTAGTCCCAGCTGCTCAGGAGGCTGAGGCAGGAGAATCACTTGAACCCAAGAGGCGGAGGTTGCAGTGAGCCAAGATTGCACCACTGCACTCCGGTCTGGTCAACAGAGTAAGATTCCATCTTAAAAAATAAAAATAATTTTAATAATGT
Source organism: Homo sapiens (assembly GCF_000001405.40). Taxonomy (NCBI): domain Eukaryota; kingdom Metazoa; phylum Chordata; class Mammalia; order Primates; family Hominidae; genus Homo; species Homo sapiens. Next base: position 272,029 of record NW_003315943.1, read on the forward strand.
ATCATAGTTATTCCAACAGATCAAAAATATGACCATTTCAACATGAAATCAATCTAAGAAAAATTATTGAGATATTTTACATAGGTTATTTCATATTAAGTCCTCAAAAACCATCTGAGTAGCTTACATATGTAACACATTTCAATTTGGACAGTGAAATTTGCATTGAAAACATCTGATCTCCATTTAGACTCATAAAATACACAGTTGACAAAGTAGACTCCCAAGGCCAAGTGATTCTAAACATACTTAAGTGCTTTCTAATAACAGAATCAAATTTTCAAACCTGCATTTTAATGAATAAAAATTAAACAGATAAAATATTCAGTGTCTCAGCTATGACGGACAGACTTCAAGTGCTGATCAGCAAACGGTGTTGAGTGTAGCCAGATGGGCCAGCGCAGGCTACACAGCTGCAGCTCAAACAGCACAGCTGCAGGTCAAACAGGCCAGTCTCTCTGCGCACGGGAACAGTCTGGGCAAGCAGGAGACGGGGAAAACGGGCACTGCCCTCGTGAGAACAAAGGACCCACAACAGGAACCCTGCACTCACCCCCTGCCAAAGACCAACAGCCCCACGAAGCAGCCACTTCAGAAAAGGGAGAGGCATTCAAGAACTTAGAAAAGCACCTCTGGAAAATGCTCACTTTAAAACTTTGCATGTAACTGTACATTTTAATTACAAGGTTTTTAACATCCATTTTCTCATGTATTCTTAATTAACTCTGTGAAAGTAAACACAGCTTTTATTCTTACTCCTATAGTTACTGTGTTGGAAGTCCACCTATATGAACAAACTGTTGTAACTGAAATTTTCTGAGAACAAATCCCAAGCTCTTTCCATCGACACAAACTATATTGTTTAGTTCTCTTTATTTCCATTTGTTAAAGACCAGAATGTGTGAAATATGCATTATCAGATTAGAAAAACAAAACAAACATCAGAAAAAGGTTTTGCAAAATAGCATTTACTAAAATCTATGACAGAAACTAGCTCTAAAACTTCCTGTTTCAAAATTTCACTGTGTGTGCACTAAGTTAGTTTTGCTGGCTGTGGACAGCAGGCCCACCCCATGCCGCGGGCCCACCCCACGCCGCGGGCCCACCCCACGCCGCGGGCCCACCCCACGCCACGGGCCCACCCCACGCCACAGACCCACCATGGCCCCATGAACAGGCCAGCTGAGAGCTGCAGCCACTGCCCAGGGCTCCCTGGTCTGTACTCGGCTGCCTGACCCAAGCTGCCAGGGCTCTGCTTTCTCTATGTGTAGAAACAAAAACCAGGAGCATCAGTTGACGAAAAGCAGATTTTTATTGAACAGAGGTATAAATGTGTTTCATTTTCTAATAAATCTCTTTCACAAATCACCTTGCTGTTTCGCTCTTCTTGAATGATCATTTTTACACAACACTGTCTGACTGTTTTGGCTTCTGCCAAGGTTAGCGTCTGTTCACAGGCTGAGTCTGACTTCCTCCTCCCACCTCCTCCTAGTCTGGCCTTCCAAAATAATGCTCACCATTCTATCACATTGACTTCAGTTTTGAAAAGAAAAGTTATCTTACAAAGTAGTAGGTACAACTCTGTAATATGTAAAGTGAGGCAATGATAGAACCAGTTTTAAAAATAACCTTCCATGATGATTTTCATTCGCACCTACCTGCTTATTAGTAAGAATCTTTTTACATGTTTACTGCACGCCCCAATTTCTCTTCTGTGAAAAACTTCTGAGTATCATCACACCCTCCAACTTCTCCTCTCACCTATATTGAGAAGGGTCTGCTCTTTATCCTAACATCTATACTAGGTAATTTTCAGAATATTCCTTCAATCATCAAACAAATTTTTGAGACCCTTGCGCTAGATTTCACTATCTTAATATGAAAACCAATAATCACCTATTAAAATACAATACAGGCCGGGAACAGTGGCTAACACCTGTAATCCCAACATTTTGAGAGGCCAAGGCAGGTGGGTCACCTGACGTCAGGAATTTGAGACCAGCCTGACCAATATGGTAAAACCCCATCTCTACTAAAAATACACAAATCAGCCAGGTGTGGTTGCAGACGCCTGTAGTCCCAGCTACTCGGGAGGCTGAGGCAGGAGAATAGCTTGAACCCAGGAGGCGGGGGTTGCAGTGAGCCAAGATCGTGACACTGCACTCCAGCCTGGACGATAGAGCAAGACTCCATCTCAAAAAAAAAACAAAAAACAAAAAACACCATTAATAAGTAAATAAATAGGCCAGGCGTGGTGGCTAATGCCTGTAATCCCAACATTTTGGGAGGCCAAAGTGGATGGACCACCTGAGGTCGGGAGTTCAAGACCAGCCTGACCAACATGAAGAAACCCTGTCTCTAATAAAACTACAAAATTAGTGGGGCATGGTGGCGCATGCCTGTAATCCCAGCTGCTCGAGAGGCTGAGGCAGAGGAATTACTTGAACCTGGGAGGCGGAGGTTGCAGTGAGTCAAGATCGCACCACTGCACTCCGGCCTGGGCAACAAGAGCGAAACTCTGTCTCAAAAAAAAAAAAGTAAATAAATAAAACACAATACAATACAGCTAATATGATTTACCTAAGAAGCTGTTGTATGAGCTGAACCAGAGGCAAACACTGTTTGCCAGAAGACTCACAGATCCCCGTATTAATAAGGTCTTTATCCAATGGAGTCCTCCTTCTATGAAATGTTGAGGCATTTGCTTCCTGTTCATAAATTTCTTTTTCCTTCCGTGCTTCTTTTTTTGTATCCTGTAATTGATAAACAGAAATTGTTTACAAGTGATCTCATTACCAGGTGTGAAGGCACACAGGCTGGCTGAGCCCTGACCCCAGTGCCAAGCTATCCCAGCCTCTGTGGCTGCCACACCCATCCACCCACAGGCCCCCCACCTGCCCTGTTGGAAACCCCAACTCATTTGTGCAGTTTCAAACAGTGTCTTCTTTTTACAGATCCAAGGTCCAGGCTGCCTCTGCTGATGCTCTCCAGCCTCCTTCTGTGAAGTCCCTAAAATCCTTAACCCTGCTAATGGCTCACACAAAACCCAATGTGATCGGCTCCACACACGCAGCATCCAGCTGCTCTGTAAGGACAAGAAGGAGCTAGAATTCTCACACACAAAAGTCCTGGTTCAAATGCAAATGGCAAAGCCACTTTGGGAAACTATGAACACACACTTACCCCAGGACCTAACAAATTCCACTCCAAGTGTTTATCCAAAGGGAGAACATATGTTCACTAAAGTACTTGTTCACAGCACAATTGTGGCAGCTCTACACGGCCAAAAACCAGAAAGCCTGGGCGCGGTGGCTCACGCTTGTAATCCCAACACTTTGGGAGGCCAAGGTGGGGGGATCACTGGAGCCCAGGAGTTGAAGACCAGCCTTGCAACACAGTGAAACCTTGTCTCTACAAAAAAATCAAAAAACTAGCCGGGCATGGTGACATGTATGTGGTCCCTGCAACACAGGAGGCTGAGGTGGGAGGATCATTTGAGCCTAGGAGGACAAGGCTGCAGTGAGCCAACATCAGGTCACTGTATACAGCCTGGGTGACAGAGCAAGACCCTGTCTCAAAAAAAAAAAAAAAAAAAGAAAACAAAAACCAAAAACAATTACATGTCCTTCAATAGGAGAATGAACTAACAAACAGTACTACACCTATAAAATGGAAAACTTCCCAATAATAAAAACGAAGTCGCAATACACACAACAGTGAGTGAATCTGAAAATCATTCTCCAAGGCAAAGCAGGAAAGAGTGCATACTATACAGTTATATTGCTGCGACACTCAGAGCAGGAAAAATGAATCTAATCTCAGGGCAGGGGAGTATCCTGGCTGCAAGTGCCAAGGAGCACAGGGATCTTTCCGGGTGACGGGAATGGTCTACATGAGGAACAGGTTACCTGTTAACTTCACTGAAACAGACAACATGCAGTATTTTATCACAAATCATCTCAATAATTTTTAAAATTAGCACATAAAAGAATTTTAATTTAAAAAAATACTTGGATATAAGTTTAGTGTTTTACTGTTTTCAGTTATTCTTCACATGTGTGAGTGTGGTATTTCCGATCTCAGCCCACCACCAGGTCACGTGTGCCTCCAAGGCCATACCTGGATCTCTGCAGTAATGGCTGCGTGTAAGGCTGACTCCAACCCTCCATCAGCCATCAAGCTGCCCACCAGAAGATCAATCACCAATCGATGACCTGGACTTATGTTCACTTCATTGCCTGAAACTGAAATAGAAAGTCTGTGCCAATTTGAGTGAAACGCCATCCCCTCCCAGCACCCTGACCCATGCCCTCTCCTGTTCCTTCCCCGAGCCCACCTCCACAGGACAGGAGAGCAGAGTGCCCGGGCCTGCTTCTCAGCGGTGGGCAACAGCATGGACCAGCCGCTCTGCAGCATGGCCTGGGAGGCCGACTGCACGGTGCTCAGCACGTCTGCGCTGCTTGCCAGGGTCACCACCTTCTGCTTCAGGCTGTTCAGGAAGACGCTGCCCAGACCTAAACCAAGGAATTCCAGGTCAACCTGGTGACTAATGGCAGCATGCAACTGAAAGGAGAAAAACAATTTTCACTTAGAACCCCTAAAAATGAGTGAATTTCAAAGTCTTATTAAACACTGAATAAAAGTCAATTTGAAGTATTATTTAAATAGACAAAATAACTTCTCAGTTTACGTATTTTTAAAAACTGGACTAAAAAAACTCTTACCCACAATAGTTGAAGTATTTTCTAGAGGAATTTTTTTTAACCCCACTATGAACACATATATGGAAAAGCTCAAGATGAGCAGAAGAGCTAAACAACTAGCAACAGCAACCTCCACCCCGCCCCAACAATCTGCACCAAACACAGAAATAATGGCTACAATGTAACCACAAAAGCTGCCACAGGCGGTGGCTCATGCCTGTCATCCCAGCACTTTGGGAGGCCGACGTGGAAAGCTCACTTGAGATCAGGAGTTCAAGATCAGCCTGGCCAACATGATGAAACCCCATCTCTATAAAAAAATCAGCCGGGTGTGATGGTACACACCTGTAGTCCCAGCTACTTGGGAGGCTGAGGCAGGAGAATCACTGGAACCTGGCAGGCCAAGACTGTACCACTGCATTCCAGCCTGGGTGACAAAGTGACACCCTGTCTAAAAAAAAAAAAGAGCTGCTAAAAATTAGACTGCGGAGCTGAGAGTACACAGGGAAACTCCTCAAGTGCAAAACCAAAATTCACATGGGCACACACAGCAGGAGTCAAGAGGTTCCGGGCTCTGAAAGCAGAGCCAAGCCGCCAGGCTTCAGCACAACCTCCCACACGGGAATGCACACAAGGACCCACTGAACCCGAGCTTCCTGCAGAAGGCTGGGAGCCACTCAGGATCACCTGCCTGCCAGCCAACCGCAGCCAGGGGGCAACACACTGCCCGTCCCAGGCTCTGGGTAGCAAGAGGCCCCATGAGAAATCAGAGACCCGGCCTTGCCCTGTAAGTAGAAGTGAAATCAAAAGCACACCACTCATCTAGGTATAGATATCACAGGTCAGGAAATGACCACCGAAACTCACCTGGAGTCTGTGAAACCTACAGAACCCTCAGGACCCCGGAGAGGCAAATGCAAAACCATACGCTGGGACACCTCGACAGCCTAAGACATACGCAAGGCCACGCCCCACAGCACTGACCAGAACAGACACATCACCGCAAACCAGGAGGGGCAGCAAACACCTGGGGCGCAACCACGCAAACGCCAGGATGCCACAGGTATGGTGATAAATGAGTGCTACAGAGGACTAGAGGAGAAGCATGCTCCAGACCTCTGCTCAGTTCATTACTGCAACTAAACACTACACTCAGTTCTGTACATTCTAGAAGCAGGGCAAAAAGGGGAGGGGCTGGAAGAGGGACATGACGGGTTGTTACAAGAAACCACTGTAATAAAAGGGAAAAATTACTATGTCGAGAAAACCGTGGTTCTTGTCATTAAGTTAGAGGGTTTTATTACAAAGACAAAAGATGATGATCAAACACTTCAGCTTTAGTTTTGCTAGGGAGGAAGGCTTTTGTAGCTTTTATTGTGACCCTAACCACAGCCTTCATGGTGAGGAAAGGAAGGTATTGCTTTGGGAGCCGAGCTTATTGAGTAGATCAAGCTTGTTCAACCCACGGCCCGAGGGCAGCATGTGGCCCAGGGCAGCTTTGAATGTGGCCCAAAGTAAAATTTCTTAAAACATCATGAGATATTTTTGGGATTTTTTTTTTAAGCTCATCAGCTATCATAAGTGTATTTTATGTGTAGCCCAAGACAATTCTTCTTCCAGTGTGGCCCAGGGAAACCAAAAGACTGGACCCTCCTGGAGCAGGGTTTTCACAGGACAGAGGAGAGACAGGCCAGCACTGGTCTCTCAGCTGAGCTCTGTCTCTCTCCATCACCTGTGATCTCACCCAGTCATTTCTCCACACGCAACAACAGTAAAACAGTAAGAATACCAACAAACTAATGATTATAGCAAAAATAACACAATCCATATACACTCTTCCTGCATGCCGAGGCTGACTTCCAGGACAAACATAAAATAAACAGATCAAGTTTTTTAAGCCTTGCGTCCATTATTAGTGCATTACAATCTTACTTTAAAATACTTCCCCCAACAGGCTAAAACCTATGTCCTTCAGAATACATAAACCTTCTTACAAATCGCTAAGACACTTATAAAAGGAGCAAGAGGAAGGGAAATCACGAATACCTGAAGTCGGGGAAGATTCAGCGTTGCCACGGCCACGCACTCTTTCTCCTGGGGCGGGGGCCAGTCCGCGGAGCCATCCATCCCCTCACTCACCTGCCGAAGCAGGAGATCCAGCTGCTCAAAAGTCACTGAGCAAATATCCACCCCAAAAGGGACATGGAGGCCAATGGACCACTCAGAACACGATGACCAAGCAATGCTCTAAGAGGAAACGCAACAATCGGAAATGAATCTCCAAATGCAGCTCTTGGTCTGTCGCACAGGAGTCACCAGCTTGTGTGATGGAGCTGCCTTATATTATTACCTATCATCCCTCTAACTGCCCAGTGGAAAAGCATTCATGGGTGTCTAGCTCACACACTATCAGCTTCCAATTCTCCCACCCATTTCACTAGCCCCATCTCACTTGGCCATACCTAAAAAAGTAAAAACATTTTAAAAAATCTTTTCACTCTCAAAATGATTAATGCACATTAATGGATGGCAGTGAGGCTCTCCATCCACTTGAAGTGGTATAATAGCAACTCTAACTAGAAAATGAATTGTTAGACACATATAACACACACAATACCTTTCATAGTGAGAGAACAAGTAATCGGCAAAAATCTAGGAGAACTGTAGAACACCTTCAATAAACTGGATCTAATTTATAGAACACTTCACCCAACAACAGCAAAATACATATACTTTTTTTTTTTTTTTTTGAGACAGAGTCTCGCTCTGTCGCCCAGGCTAGAGTGCAGTGGCGGGATCTCAGCCCACTGCAAGCTGTGCCTCCTGGGTTCACGCCATTCTCCTACCTCAGCCTCCTGAGTAGCTGGGACTACAGGTGCTCACCACCACGCCTGGCTAATTATTATTATTTTTTTAATTTTTATTTTTAGTGGAGATGGGGTTTCACCATGTCAGCCAGGATGGTCTTGATCTCCTGACCTCGTGATCCACCTGCCTTGGCCTCCCAAAGTGCTGGGATTACAGGCGTGAGCCACCGTGCCCGGCCATACATACACTTTACATATACTTTTTTTAAATTTTATTTTTTTTGAGATGGAGTCTAGCTCTGTCGCCCAGGCTGGAGTGCAGTCGCACGATCTCAGTTCACTGCAAGCTCTGCTTCCCAGGCTCAAGCCAGTCTCCTGCCTCAGCCTCCCAAGTAGCTGGGACTACAGGCGCCCGCCATCATGCCCGGGTAATTTTTTTTGTATTTTTAGTAGAGACGGAGTTTCACCCTGTTAGCCAGGATGGTCTCGATCTCCTGACCTTGTGATCTGCCTGCCTTGGCCTCCCAAAGTGCTGGACCATACATATACTTTTTAAGCACATACAGACCATACATATACTTTTTACACATATATGTATACATATATGTATATACAGACCATACATATACAGACCATACATATACTTTTTAAGCACATACAGAATGTTCACTGAGAACATAACCTGACACATAAATCTTAACAAATTTAAAAGAAATGAAATCATATGCAGTTTGTTCTCCAATCACAATGGTATTAAACTAGAAATCATTAACAAAACAATCTGCAAACACTTCAAAATAAAACAACATACTTAATAATCCATGGGTCAGGCCGGGCGCACTGGCTCACGCGTGTAATCCCAACACTGTGGGAGGCCAAGTTGGGGGGATCACCTGAGGCCAGGAGTTGAAGATCAGCCTGGCCAACATGGAGAAACCCCATCTCTACTGAAAATACAAAACAATTAGCCGGGCATGGTGGCGGGTGCCCGTAGTCCCAGCTAATCAGGAGGCTGAGGCAGGAGAATCGCTTGAACCCAGGAGACAGAGGTTGCAGTGAGCCGAGATCATGTCATTGCACTCCAGCCTGGGCAACAACAGTGAAACTCCGTATTGAAGAAAAATAATAATAATAATAATCATCATCATCATCCATGGGTCAAAGAACAATTCTCAAAAGAAATTAGAAAATATTTTGAACATAAATGAAAATGCACCAAAATTTGTGGGTTTAATTAAAGCACTGCTTAGAGGAAAATTTATAGCATCAAATCATTATATATTACAGAAAAGATAGGTCTAAATCAGCAATCTAAGTTTCCACCTTAAGAAACCAGAAAAAGAGCAAAGTGAACGCAAAACAAGCCAAAGGAACAAATGCCAAGATAAAAGCAGAAACTAATGAGATTGAAAGCAAAAAAAGAAGGGAAAAATTAATGAAACTTAAAGATCATTCTTTGAAAAGATCAACAAAATTGAAAAACTCTAGGAAAACTGACAAAGAAAAAAACAGAAAAGATACAAATTATCAGTATCAGGAATGAATGAAGGGACATCACTGCAGGCCCCACAGACTTCAGACGGTTAGCAAGAGAACACTAAGGAAAACTTGACACTTAAAAATCAGACAACTTAGATGAAATAAAGCAATGTCCGAGTGCCACAAACCAGGAAAATCCTCCTAGAAACAAACAGGTTACCTGAATAGTTCTGTATCTGTTAAATAAATTGAATTTGTAAAAATTTTTTTTTTTTTTTTGAGCCGGAGTCTCACTCTGTCACCCAGGCTGGAGTGCATTGGTGCAATCTCAGCTCTCTGCAATCTCTGCCTCCCAGGTTCAAGTGATTCTCCTGCCTTAGCCTCCTGAGTAGCTGGGATTACAGGCGCACGCCACCAAGCTCGACTAATTTTTTGTATTTTTAGTAGAAACGGGGTTTCACCATGTTAGCCAGGCTGGTCTCAAACTCCTGACCTCAGGTGATCCACCTGCCTCAGCCTCCCAACGTGCTGGGATTATAGGCACGAGCCACCGTGCCCGGCGTAAAATCTTTTAGAAAGAAATCTCCAGGTTCAGATGGATTCAAAAACATTTAAAGAAGAAATAACACTAATTCTACACAATCCCTTAGAGAAAATGGAAAAGGAGGGAACACATGCCAATACTTTGTATAAGGTCAGCTTTCCCCTGACAGAAAGCCAGACAAGATAGTATAATACAAAGAAAGAAAACTGCAAACCAACATCCCTGATGAGCATCAACAGAAAAATCCTCAAAAACGTGTTAGCAAGTCAAATTTAGCAATATAGAAACAGAATAGGGCCGGGCGCAGTGGCTCACGCCTGTAATCATAGGAATATTGGGATGCCAAGGAGGGTGGATCACTTGAGGTCAGGAGTTGGAGACCAGGCTGGCCAACATGGTGAAACCCCATCTCTACTAAAAACAAACAACAAACAAACAAAATTAGCCAGGTGTGGTGGTGCACACCTGTAATCCCAGCTACTCAGGAAGCTGAGGCAGGAGAATTGCTTGAACCCAGGAGGCAGAGGTTGCAGAGAGCTGAGATTGCACTAATGCACTCCAGCCTGGGTGACAGAGTGAAATTCTGTCTCAAAAAAAAAAAAAAAAAAAAGAAAGAGAGTAGTAAATCGTGGCCAAGTGATGCCTATCCCAGTAACACAAGGCTTGGTCAGTATTTAAAAATCAGGCTGGTATAGTGTCTCACACCTGTAATCCCAGCACTTTGGGAGCTCACTGCAACCTCAAACTCTTAAGCTCAAGCAATCCTCCTGCCTCAGCCTCCTGAGTAGCTGAGACTACAGGTGCACACCAGCATGCCACGCTAATTTTTAATTTTTTTGTAGAGATGGGATCTCGCTGTGTTGCCCAAGCTGGTCTCTAACTCCTGGGCTCAAGTGACCCTCTCGCCTATGCCTCCCGAAGTGCTGGTGTGAGCTGTTGCACCCAGCCAAAATACGGCAGATTTGTAGTACCCCAGAAGGCTCCTTCCTGACCTACACTTTCCCACAAAGGAAACTACTCTTCTGACTTCAATCATCGTCAGTTCTGTCTTCCTGCGCTTCATCTAGGTGGGCTGGTACTGTGCACTGTCTCTCATACCTGGCTCCCTCTATTCACCCATGTCGTTGAGTGTTCCTACCACTTCATTTTTCTTTTTTGGCTGTGTAGTATTCCATGATGTGACTGTATCACCATTTATTCACTCTCCTGTTGATGGACATTTAGGTTGTTTTCATTTGGGGCTCTTATGAATAAAAATGGCAGTGAACATTCTTATATAAGTCTTTTTGTGGACATATGCACTCGTTTCTCTTGTGTACATGCTTAGGATGGAATTTCTGAAGGTAGGCATAGATATAGCTTTAGTAGAAGCTGCCAAACAGGTTTCCAATGTGCTTATACAATTTTATGCTACTGCCAGCTTGACAGTTCTTGTAGCTCTACATCTTTACCAATACTCTGTATAACACAGCATTTAACTTTAAATAGAGATAAAACGATGGTAAGATCCAAAGAAGTGTGCATGTTCCTGAAGAACATCCCGTAAAGGGCCTATTTTATTCATCTGTTTCGGGCACTGAAAACCACTGCATGGCTGGATGAGGAAGGAGGCCTGGTACAACTCCCAAGAAGGCATGTGTCCCTCGGGTGGGCTTTGTTTCCCAGAAACTCTGGGGAAGGGGTGGAGAGGCACCTTCTGGGCCAGCTGGTCTCCTCTGGCTTTTCTTGTACCCTAGGGCTCCCTCCAAAGAGACAGAGAACAGCCTGGCCGGGGAGCAGTATCTCCTACTGCGCTTGCTGTGAGCCAGCCACTCTGCCTTCTTTCAGGAATTACAAAATCCACAGGTCCCCGGCATTCTTATTTATGTATTTATTCATTTATGAGGCATGGTTTTCCTCAGCTCTGTTGGATGGGTCTCTGTGAAGGGAGCTTGGTGGGGGCGAGTGGCCCCTCCCTGGAGGAGGCAGGCCCCTGGTCAGGATCTTTGGGGCTCCAGGTCTCATAAGTGGGGGGCCAGGCTCCCTAGAGAAACCCTTCTTGGCTAGGGCTGGGGAGCCCACCAGAGTGACCCAATCAGTTCTCAGGGCCTGTGATGGGGCCAAGTGGTTTTGAGAAGCCAGTGTTCAGCTCCATCCTAAAGAGCACTCATGCACGTTGAGGAGGAGGGCCGGGGTGCACAGCTCTGACCTGAGTCAGACCCACCTCAGGACTTAGCCCAGCAGGAGGCCCAGAGTCACTGACCATAAAACGAGCAGATGCCTCCCCCGTGCTGATGGAGATGAGTCTTGGGCATCAACTCTAATAATTTCTAACTGCACCCAGAAATACTGATTCACACAGCAACTAGTGAATAATAGCCTTTTAGAGCTAAAAAAGCCTCATATATTATAAATTAACATATGCATTTTACACAAACTAGAGGCACCGTGGTGGGCCAGCAGCAGCCTGTTCAGGGGCCACAACAAGGGAGATTGGATTTCCTTAAGTGCAATGGGAGTTACTGGCAAGGCTTTAAGGTTTTAGCCACAGGAAAGATGAAAGTATTTTAGAGCAATGTGGGTGGATTCAAAGTGAGGTTTTGAACTAGATCAGTTTTTTTTTTTTTTTTTTTTTTAGACAGAGTCTGACTCTTATTGCCCAGGCTGGAGTGCAGTGGTGCTATCTTGGCTCACTGCAACCTCTGCCACCCAGGTTCAAGCAATTCTCCTGCCTCAGCCTCCTGAATAGCTGGGATTACAGGCACCTGCCACCAAGCCCGGCAAATTTTTGTATTTTTACGGGGTTTCACCATCTTGGCCAGGCAGTTCTTGAACTCCTGACCTCGTGATCCACCTGCCTTGGCATCCCAAAGTATTAATTTTTTTTTTTTTTTGAGACGAAGTCTTGCTGTGTCGCCCAGGCTGGAGTGCAGTGGCCCGATGTCGGCTCACTGCAAGCTCCGCCTCCCAGGTTCACGCCAGTCTCCTGACTCAGCCTCCCGAGTAGCTGGGACTACAGGCGCCCGCCACGATGCCCAGCTAATTTTTTGTATTTTTTTTTAGTAGAGATGGGGTTTCACCGTGTTAGCCAGGGTGGTCTCAATCTCCTGACTTCCTGATCTGTCCGCCTTGGCCTCCCAAAGTGCTGGGATTACAGGGGTAAGCCACCACGCCCCTCCAAGTATTAAATTTTTTATTTAAAAAATCTCCCCTCTCCAAAGATCTCCCAGCATTTCTGCAGAGGTCTCTACCTAGGTAAGGAGAAGAAACTATTCTTGGCCGGGTACAGTGGCTCACGCCTGTAATACCAGCACTTTGGAAAGCCAAGGTTGGAGGATTCCTTGATCCCAGAAGTTCGAGACCAGCCTGGCCAACATGGTGAAACCCCATCTTTACCAAAAATACAAAAATTAGGTGGGTGTGGTGGAGTGTGCCTGTAGTCCCAGCTACTCAGGAGGCTGAGGTAGAAGGATCGCTTGGGCCTGGGAGGTCAAGGCTGCAGTGAACCAAGGTGGTGCCACTGCACTCCAGCCTGGGTAACAGAGTGAGATCCTGTCTCAAAAAAAAAAAAATTATCTGTGAGGGTGAAATTTAAATACCTTTGTGCATAGCTATCAGTTATTCTTTGTTTTAATATTTAGTTTATTGTGAAATATAACACATATAGAAACATACATAAAACAACACACAGGGCCAGGCCCGGTGGGTCACGCCTTGTAATCCCAGCACTTTGGGAGGCCGAGGCGGGCGGATTACTTGAGGTGAGGAGTTTGAGACCAGCCTGGCCAACATGGTGAAACCCCATCTCTACTAAAAATACAAAAATTAGTCGGATGTGGTGGTGCATGCCTGTAATCCCAGCTACTTGGGAGGCTGAGGCAGGAGAATCGCTTGAACCTGGGAGGCAGAAGTTACAGTGAACCAAGATCGCGCTACTGCACTCCAGCCTGGGCAACGGAGTCAGACTGTGTCTAAAAAAAAAGAAAAAAAATATAGGCCGGGTGTGGTGGCTCACGCCTGTAATCCCAGCACTTTGGGAGGCCGAGGCGGGCAGATCCCTTGAGGTCAGGAGTTCGAGACCAGCCTGACCAACATGGAGAAACCCCATCCCTACTAAAAGTACAAAATTAGCCGGGCATGGTGTTGCATGACTGAAATCCCAGCTACTTTGGAGGCTGAGGCAGGAGAATCGCTTGAATCTGGGAGGTAGAGGTTGTTTTGAGCTGAGATCACGCCATTGTACTCCAGCCTGGGCAACAAGAGCGAAACTCCGTCTCAAACAAACAAAAAACAAAACAAAAACAAAAAACACAGTGTAACATGTTATTATAAAGTCACTGCTCAGGGACCAACTTGGCCGGTCCTGTGCCTCTAGAGGGAAGCTCCTTCCCACTGTTCTTTAGAGTTTTATATGTTAAGTACAGGAGTCAACAAACTAGGCCTATGCACCACATCTGGCACCCAGCCTTTATTTATTTTTTGAGATGGCGTCTCACTCTGTCACCCTGGCTGCAGTGTGGCAGCACAATCTCGGCTCACTGCAAACTCCACCTCCCAGATTCAAGCAATTCTCCTGCCTCAGCCTCCTGAGTAGCTGGGATTACAGGTGTGTGCCACCACACCCGGCTAATTTTTATATTTTTGGTAGAGACGGGGTTTCACCATGTTGGTCAGTCTGGTCTCGAACTCCTGACGTCAGGTGATCCGCCTGCGTTGCCCTCTCAAAGTGCTGGGATTACAGGCATGAGGCATGATGCCTGACCCAGCCTTTTTTAAAATGAAGGTTTCGGCTGGCGCGGTGGCTCATGTCTGTAGTCCCAGCATTTTGGGAGGCCAAGGCAGGTGGATCACCTGAGGTCAGTAGTTGGAGACCACCCTGGCCAACATGGTGAAACCCCGTCTGTACCAAAATACAAAAATTAGCTGGGCGTGATGGCAGGCACATGTAATGCCAGCTACTCGGGAGCCTGAGGCACGACAATCACTTGAACCCGGGAGGCGGAGGTTGCAGTGAGCCAAGATCACACGATTGCACTCCAGCCTGGGCAACGAGCGAAACTCCATCTCAAAATACAATAATAAAAAAAAGGATGTCCTTTTTTGTCTCTCAACCCCGTTTTTTATTTTTTTTTATTTTCAGACAGGGTCTCGCTCTGTTGCCCAGGGTGGAGTGCAGGGGCCCGATCTTAGCTCACTGCGGCCTCAACTTCCCCAGCTCACATGATCCTCCCACCTCAGCCTCCCAAATAGCTGGGACCACAGGTGGGTACCACCATGCCCGCCTAATTTTTGTATTTTTTGTAGAGATGGGATTATGCCATGTTGCTCAGGCTGATCTCGAACTTCTGGGCTCAAGTGTCTCTCTGCCTCCACCTCCCAAAGTGCTGGGATTGCAGGCCTGAGCTACCATGCCCAGCCCTGCTTTAATTTAAAGTGTATTACATTTGATATTAGTACAGCCCCTTCAGCTCTTTTTTGGTTACTATTTTAATTGTATCTTTGTATCCCTTTACTTTCAATCTGTTTCTGTATTTAAAATGTTTATCTTGTAGATAGCACATTGGTGGATCATATTTTGTTCTTCAATCCTTTCAGCCAGTCTGCTTTTCTTTCTTTCTTTTTGAGACAGAGTTTTCCTTTTGTCACCCAGGCTGGAGCGCTATGGTGCGATCTCAGCTCACTGCAACCTCTGCCTCCTGGGTTCAAGCGATTCTCCAGCCTCAGCCTCCTGAGTAGCTGGGATTACAGGTGCGTGCCACCAGGCCTGACTAATTTTTGTATTTTTAGTAGAGACAGGGGTTTCTTCATGTCGGTCAGGCTGGTCTTGAACTCCTCACCTCAGGTGATCCACCGCCTCAGCCTCCCAAAGTGCAGGCATTACACGCGTAAACCACTGCGCCCGGCCAAAGTGGTGGATTTTTTTTCTCAGAAAATCTATTCCATTCTTTTTCCAGAAACCAAATTTGTACAAGTTAACTAAAATAAATATTTATACTCTAATTTTTTTGTTCTGAGGTCTGAGTTTTTAGAATTTTATCTTTACATGTTTAGAAAAATTAGAAAATATAGATAGAACATAACCAAGAAAATAATAACAACTTTCCTTCTGTTCAAAGTTCATTACTATTAGCCGAGTGCAGTGACTCACACCTGTAATCCTAGCACTTTGGGAGACTGAGGCGGGCGGATCACTTGAGCCCAGGAGTTCGAGACCAGCCTGGGCAACATGGCAAAATCCCGTCTACAAAAACTACAAAAATTAGCCAGGTGTGGTTCCATGTGCCTGCAGTCCCAGCTAGTGGCAAGGCTGAGGTGGAGAACCACCTGAACCCGGTAAGTCAAGGCTGCAGTGGTGCAGCCTCTGTCCCCCAGGCTGGAGTGCAGTGGTGCAATGTCGGCTCACTGCAACCTCCGCCTCCCGGGTTCAAGCGATTCTCCTGCCTCGGCCTCCCGAGTAGCTGGGATTACAGTCACGTGCCACCACACCTGGCTAATCTTTGTATTTTCAGTAGAGAAGGGGTCTCATCATGTTGGCCAGGCTGGTTTTGAACTCCTGACCTCAGATGATCCACCTGCTCTGGCCTCCCAAAGTGCTGGGATTACAGGCCTGAGCCACCACGCCCGGCCGTTATTTTTCTTTCTTAGAGGCAGGATCTCACTCTGTCGCCCAGGCTGGAGTGCAGTGGCACGATCTAAGCTCACTGTAGCATTGATCTCCCAGGCTCAGGCGATTCTCCTGTCTCAGCCTCCCGAGCAGCTGGGATCACAGGTGTGTGCCACCACACCTGGCTAATTGTTAAATTTTTTTATTTTTATTTTTTAGAGATGGGGTCTTGCTATGTTGCCCAGTCTGGCAACATGGGATCCTCCAACTCCTGGCTTCGAGGGATCCTCCCGCTTCGGCCTCCCAAAGCGCTGAGAATTACATACGTGAGCCACCACGCCCGGCCTATATTGTTTTATAGTTCTTCAATTTTGTTTTGTGGTCGCCGGAGGTGTTTCCTTCTTCGATTCCCTGCACAGTGCTTCCACAGCTGCTCCATGGAATCTGCCCAAGACTTTTGCTGCGTTCAGTTGAACACACAGGAGGAAGCTCTTCAGGCCCCAGCCAGCCGACCGCACAAAGATGCGTTCTCATACCCAGGGGAGCTGGTCTCGCCACTCGACCCGCGCCCTGGATAGCTATAGTTAGTGTGAGCGCCACCACCCGCCGCGGCGTGATCAAGAGCGCTCCGGGCCAAGCAGTCTCCCGTGGGAGTGCGGGAGTGCGTGCGTGCGGCGGAAATCCCGCCTTCCGGCGCCCGCTGTTGGCCTTGGCCGCAGCCAGGGCGCTCCAAGTAGGAAGATAAGCGGGATTGCTGGAAGCGGGAGAGTCGGGAGGAGCGGCGAAGGGCTCCTCTTCCCCATTGGCTGCGCCCACGGAGCAGCCTCGTTGCGATTGGCCGTACGCGGGGGGCGGCAGTCCCGCGTCGGCCCGCCCCTCGGGCCGCGAGAGGCGCCGGGATCGCGGGCGCCGGCTGAGCCAGCGGCTCTTGGGAGGCTGCGTCCGCGCGCCGGCGAGGCGAGGCGGCCGGGCCCTGCGCGTCAGGTCCTGGCCTGGGGCACCTGGGCGGCCGGTGGCGGGGGCGGTACGGGCGCGGGGCTGGCGGGCGGCCGAGCCCGGGAGGCGGGCGTGGGCGCGGCGGCCGCACCGGGGCCTGCGCGGACCACCCGCGGGGCAGCCTCGGGCCTCTCTCCATCTCTTAAGTGGTGGTGGCTGTGGGTTTTTCTGCAGGCGATCCTTTTGAGTAATTTGTTTCACGCACGCGCCCTGCTGTGGGGTAAAGCGGCAGATTCATGCTGCTGTCATTTGTCGTTAAAACGATGTGTGTTATGTGTGTGTACTTCTTGGATTTGAGGGCAGGGGGATGACATTGTGACTTGGCTTCCTGTGACCGTCCATTCTCAAGGTCTCGTCAGCGTGGTGCAGAAACTCGGCACACCCTGCCTACCTTGGAAGGAGGCTTTCCCTTCCCCACCTCCCTCTCCCTCCATCTCTTCCCTCTTTCCCTCTCTCCCCTTCTCTCCCCTCCACCAGCTCTTCTCTCCCCCCTTTCTGTTCTCTCTCTCTTTTTTCTTTTGTGCATTGAACCTTTCGGGAGTGTCTTTGTAAACTATTAAAAAGCATTAGGTCTTCAGCGTATGTGTTTACTTGCAGGCCTGAGACCTGGGAGGAAGCTGGAGAAAAGATGCCCTCTGAATCTTTCTGTTTGGCTGCCCAGGCTCGCCTCGACTCCAAATGGTTGAAAACAGATATACAGGTGGGGTTTGACATGTCTTTTTCTTGGTGTGTTTCTGCTTCCATGTTTAAATTTCTCGTGTAAGGCTTTTTTTTAGGGTATGTAAGGGGAAGTCAGTTGTATCTTGCTGAATTAGAGGAGCAGGTTTATTTCCTGTAACTTAAAATGTAACAGTCTTATGGCTGTTTTTGTAGATCGTGCGCGGCTGCCTTTTAATTAGTTTCTTGCAAGTGCACGAAACTTGAGATCTATTAATAGAGAAAATTTTTTTCCTATTTATTATTACTGGTTAAGAAATCTGCCACACTCCTAACCATATCATGGTGACTGTTGTTTGTTACTGATCGTTTTTGAGCTGTTGAGTTAACTGTGGAGGGGAAAATTGGAGAAGTAAGTTGCAGTAATTATGGCCTATAGAAACTCACTCATTTTATGAGGTCTTGTGTTTGTGTTTCTGGAGAGACGAGTTAGTTCAGTTGAGCTGTTTGTTTTGTCTTTGTAACTCCTTATTAAGAGGAGTGCTCAGATTTTCACATCAAGAATATGAGGAAACAATGTTGGCCTTAGATCCTAATTTTTTGATTTAATGAGATAATTGCAAGCTTGTCAGGACATTATTAAATAAATAATAACGGTAATATTTCGATAGACAGTTCTTTACACCCAATCTACTTTTATTTGGAAATGGCTTGGAAAAACTACTTTTGGAACTCCTTATCAGCAGCAAAAAGAAGTGTTTGAAATATTTTGTGTGTGTCTGTATTTTCCTACTCCCTAAGGTTAACCATTTTAAGTATTAAGTAATGTGCCTTGACTGTTCATCAAAAGTCGTGTAGGCTGTTAAGCAGTAGTTGATCATGGATACTTACACTGAAGTGTTATTGCCCCTTCCTAATTTTTTTTTTCTTTTTAAACAGGTATTGAGTGTTGGTGGATATGAGAGTCCAGTGTTTAGAGCTGTGTTGCGTGGCTGGGCGCAGTGGCTCACGCCTGTAATCCCGGCAGTTTGGGAGGCCGAGGCGGGTGGATGCCCTGAGGTCAGGAGTTGGAGACCAGTCTGACCAACATGGTGAAACCCCGTCTCTACTAAAAATACAAAATTAGCCAGACGTGGTGGTGTATGCCTGTAATCCCAGCCACTCGGGAGGCTGAGGCAGGAGAATCGCTTGAACCCGGGAGGTGGAGGTTGCAATGGGTCAAGATTGTGCCGTTGCACTCCAGCCTGGACAATGAGAGCTTTTTTTTCAAAAAAAAAAAAAAAAGCTGTTGTGGATGATGGGATTGTTATTCATAGTGTAATGTTACATAAGACAGAGTACAGAGAATTGGGTCAAGAATTGGTGTAGTTACTCTTTGGGTTTGTTTCTCTTTAAACATTTCCTTTGATTTAGCTATAATGATCTGTTTTGTCATTTTAAGTGGATGGGAGACGTGAGAGATGAGTACTTTCATATTTCTGAAATCCTGAGATTCAGGCAAAGTTTTAATAGTCGTTTTTATATTAGTGTTTATGTATTTTGAGAAACTTTTTGGAGTAAAGGACTTTACGTAATGAAGTTTTTTTCTTAATAATTGTAATTTAATAACTGCTAAACATGAGTTCTAGTGTCTTGATCTAAAACCAGTTTAATGCTGAATTGAGTTCCTATGATGGGTTGGGCAGATAAACATACAGTGAAGCACCATTTATATCTTAGAGGGCCTGTTGTTTTGATTTATTAAGTTTAATACACAGTACTTGGTCCTTGTTACACATTTCCAATATGATTAGAAAGTCTTTTTTTTTTTTTTTTGAGACGCAGTCTTGCTCTGTCGCCCAGGCTGGCGTGCAGTGGCGCAATCTTGGCTCACTGCAACTTCCGCCTCCCGAATGCAAGTGATTCTCCCACCTCAGCCTTCCGAGTAGCTGGGATTACAAGTGTGTGCCACCATGCATGCCCGACTAATTTTTGTATTTTTAGTAGAGATGGGGTTTCACTGTGTTGGCCTGGCTGGTCTCCTGACCTCAAAGCGATCTGCCTGCCTCGGCCTCCCAAATTGCTGGGATTACAGGCGTGAGCCACTGCACCTGGCCAAAAAAAAAAGTCATCTAAATTCCTCCTAGGAGTAAGGGAAACGACTAGGTTTTGGATAGTGTGCACCAGAGGAAAAATGTGTTACAGGTCTAAGTAGCATGAAAAAAGTGATTGCTAAGTTTTGTTTTATGTTCCACCAGCATTGGTTGTTAAACACAAGGAATGAATGGTGGTGTTTTACCGTAAGGAATAAGACATGGTTTCCCTCTTTGGGGAGCTTCCCTGCAGACAGGAATTGCAGATGGAAGCCTTGTGCTCACAGGTTTTACCCTTATCTTGTTGAGGATGGCTCTCCCAGCTGGAGTGGGAAGCGCTTCACTGCTTGAGACTTTTGTATTGGAAACAGAATTGACACCTGGGTAATGAATAATACATGGGATAGGAAGATGTTTCTTAGCCATAGGATTTAACCGATCTGTTTTCCACAGCTGTTTTTGTTTGAAATGCCCTTAAAAGTTTTAGTAACTTTAGAAAGGAAGAGTTTTTGGAGTGTGAAAACTTATAATGCTTGTGTGTTATAGAGAGCACTTATTGACTTCTTTATCATAGACATTATTTGGATACGTCAGGCCTAGGACCCTACATCCAGCAACCTCTAATGCAGGGCTCATTTTATGCCAGGCATATATATCTGGTTATTACATATAAACAGTTTAATTGTTCAACACTTTTTTTTTTTTTTTTTTTTGAGACGGAGTCTCACTCTGTCTCCCAGGCTGGGGTGCATTGGTGCCATCTTGGCTCACTGCAAGCCTCCTGGGTTCATGCCATTCTCCTGCCTCAGCCTCCCGAGTAGCTGGGACTACAGGTGTCCACCACCACGCCTGGCTAATTTTGTGTACTTTTAGTAGAGACAGGGTTCCACCATGTGGGCCAGGCTGGTTTTGAACTCCTGACCTCAAGTGATCCACCCGCCTCGGCCTCCCAAAGTGCTGGGATTACAGGCGTGAGCCACCGCGCCTGGCCTGTTCAACACTCTTTTCTGCTTGATGTGTGGAGTGATTGAATCACCATGTTTTCCTTCACTGCTCTCGTGAAGAGTAATACATTACAGAGGTAAGAGGTGTCAGTCACATCACTTTTTATTTTTACCGTGAAAGTACTTCTAATCTGATGTGATTGGTAGTTTTTTAGCAAACCAAAAAGTCAGTTAAGCAAAGGAATCATAAAAACCAATATATGAGACCTTAAAAGCTTTTTATTCTTAAAACACATGCCTGTTCGCCAGTTTTGTTGTAAGGTAAAGGTGCATGTCTTTGAGCATAGGTCCAGAATGGAGTTATCCTGCCCCTTCTTGCATAAGCTGCACTCAGATGAATTTCCTACAGTTTCTATTTTTGGGTTCTTTTTTAAGTGGCACATGAAACTAGATATGCATGAAGCAATTTTTAAAAAAACTTTTTATTTTGAAATAATAATAGACTCTCAGGAAGTTGTAAAGAAACTAGAGAGGTCATTGTATATTTGCGCATACTGCCCCAGTGGTTACATTTTATGTAACCATAATAGAGTATAAAAACCCAGAAATTGAAGTTGGTACAATGTGTGTGCGTAGTTCTGTGCCATTCTATCAAGTGTCTGTAAATATAACTACTACTACAATTTCCTATGCAGAACTGTTTCATCACCAGAAAGATCTCTCTCCTGCCTCTCTTCTGCCACCATCTCTAACTCCTGCCAACCACTGATCTGTTCTTCATCTCTATAATTTTGTTACTGTGAGATTACCAAGTGATATGTGACCTTCGGAAATGATTTTCTTTACTCAGCATAATGCCCTCAGGTCCGTCAAGGTTTGTTGAGTATATCAGTAGCTAAACTGGGACCATTTATTTGTCTCTTCATCTAATCATCAATTAAAAATGACCACGCATAAATGTAAGCTTTTACAGTTAAACTTATTGTATATAAATAGTCACTTCGGCTGGGCGCGGTGGCTCACGCCTGTAATCACAGCACTTTGGGAGGCCGAGGAGGGCGGATCACTTGAGGTCAGGAGTTCAAAACCAACCTGGCCCCCATGGTGAAACCCTGTCTCTACTAAAAATACAAATGAGCCAGGTGTGGTGGTGTGCGCTTGTAATCCCAGCTACTTGGGAGGTTGAGGCAGGAGAACTGCTTGAACCCAGAAGGTGGAGGTTGCAGTGAGCCGAGATCATGCCATTGCACTCCAGCCTGGCCAACACAGCAAGACTCCTTCTCAAAAAAAAAAAAATGTCACTTCATGCTTAGAAATATCAGTAGATGGCCGGGTGTGGTGGCTTAGCCTGTAATCCTAACAGTTTGGGAGGCTGAGGTCAGGAGATCGAGGTCATCCTGGCGAACATGGTGAAACCCCATCTCTACTAAAAATACAAAAATTAGCTGGGTGTGGTGGCACGTGCCTGTAGTCCCAGCTACTTAGGAGGCTGAGGCAGGAGAATCGCTTGAACCCAGGTGGCGGAGGTTGTAGTGAGCTGAGATCGCGCCACTGCACTACAGCCTGGTGAGAGAGCGAGAATCTGTCTCAAAAAAAATAAAAAAGGGCAGTAGATAAAAAAAGTACAAACATGAGTATCTTGATAAATTCTATTCTCAGGCTTTCAGGTTCATAATCCTGTTGATAGATGACATGTAGAAATAGAAGAATTTGTAAATATAGGAATATTCATTGATGTTTTTAGGACTGGATTCTAAGGGTGGTTTTTACCTCTAATATCCAAATACTGCTGCCTCAAGAGAACAATTTTTGTTTTCAAAATTCCATGATAAAAAAGATGCAGTAACCCTGTATGTGGCATTTTGTCAGGTTAATTAAGAGCATTTTGCAGCAAAAAAAAAAGTTTTTTGTAGAGGCAGGGTCTTGCTTTGTTGTCCAGGCTGGTCTAGAACTTCTGCATTCAAGTGATCCTCCTGCCTTGGCCTCCCAAAGTGCTGTGATTAGATGTGTGAGCCACTGTGCCTGGCCTGGTGTTTTAAAGAACTAACTTTTAACTTTGGTTCTTGGAAAAGACTAGCAATACTTGTTATAAAAAAAAGGAAAAGGGTTTAGCCGTAGGACTTTGATGACAATTCCTTTTTTTTTTTTTTTTTTTTGAGACAGAGTCTCACTCTGTTGCCCAGGTTGGAGTACAGTGGCACTATCTCAGCTCACTGCAACCTCCACCTCCCAGGTTCAAGCCATTCTCGTGCCTCAGCCTCCCAAGTGGCTGGAATTACAAGTGTGCACCACCACACCCAGATAATTTTTTATATTTTTAGTAGAGATGGGGTTTCACCATGTTGCCCAGGCTGGTCTTGAACTCCTGAGCTCAGGCAGTCCACCTGCCTTGGCCTCCCAGAGTGGTGGGATTACAGCAGTGAGCCACTGAGCCCAGCAGATGACAATTCTTTATGAAGAAGAAATTGAGTATCCTGTTTAAGGCACTCAAGAAAAGAAAATGTGAGTAAAGCATTTTTTGTTCC
Organism: Homo sapiens; assembly: GCF_000001405.40. NCBI lineage: Eukaryota > Metazoa > Chordata > Mammalia > Primates > Hominidae > Homo > Homo sapiens. Next base: position 295,339 of record NW_003315943.1, read on the forward strand.
AGCAAAACCGACTTTTCAGATGAAAAACACACAAACTTCTCAGTGAGCTGTAACTTAGGAAGTATTGTTCTCATGAGCCCTTCCTTAGGAATGGAGTGGAGAAAGATCTTTAGACAACTGGATGACTGTAGATCAACCTGCAACTGATGATGGGCATGAAACAGTTATTTGTTAAACCTAGACTGCATGAGTGTTAAGGGAGAGAGCATGGCATAGCCATGTGCTTAGACATTGTAGATTATGGTTGTAACTGTTATGCAGTTCTGTTAATCTCATCCATCCATTTTGTATTTTCATTTCTAGAGATTCCATTTGAGTCCTTTTTATATCTTCTGTTTCACTCCTTATAACATTCATGCTTTCCTTCTATTAGTATAGGGAGAATTTCTGTAAGAGAGCTTTTAATGTCCTTGTCTGTGAATTCTGTAATCTCTGATCACTTCTAGATCCATCTCTGTTGATTGATTCTGTCATTTCTATTGATTGATTGCCCTAGTTATGGGGGCATGGTTGTATGCCTGCTAATTTTTGATTGAATGCTAGGCATTAATTTTATCTTCTGTGCAGGATTTTGTTTTATTTTTTTAAAGAGCCTTAGTTTTCTTCTGCCATACATGTAAGTTACATGGGGTCAGTTTGATCTTTTCAAAGCTTGATTCTGAGGTTTGTTAGGCTGATCCACACAGGCTTTACTCTTGGGCTCATTTATCCATACAACGAAGGCAATACTGTTCTCAGGACTCCACCTGATGCTTGGTGTATGAGAAGATCTTTCTGTCCTTGTTTGTGGAAACACAGGCTTTTCCCAGACTGTGCATCATGGCAGTGCTGCTTATTACTTTCTAGTGCTGCTTTCCCCAGTATTCCATAGTTTTCTTAACCTATGCTCAGAGTAGTACTCAGACAGATACTCAAGGGGCCCCTCCACTCATCTCTGGAGCTTGCTGTATTCTTGTCATTTGGCCTACGTATAGCTGATCTGTCTCCTGAGCTCAGCAAGTTCTTTGGGCTCTATTTGGGTTCCCCTTTCCTGTGCTGCAGCCTGGAAGCTGCTTCTGGGCAGTGTTTCCCTTCTCTCAGGGATCCCAGCTCTGGGCTGTCTGTTGTCCAGTTTTTGGTAACAGCTTTTCGGTATATTCTGTCTGGTTTTCTAGTTGATTATAGCAAGGAAGTGATTTCTACAGAATTC